>NC_000010.11:4252424-4403939 GCF_000001405.40 Homo sapiens
GGGTCTAGGTTATGTGCTTTCCACACAGAAGCACCCTGCACTCCCAGCCATAGACCTTGTAGCATAAGATTTCAGTTTCCAGTTAGCTGAGTGTATCTTCTATGGAACTGTCAGACTTATGTAGGCTTTCTCATGCCTTTTAGCCAAAGAATCATTCCCAATGCTTAGGATAATTTCTGGAATAAAGTAGTCTCAATGAAAATATTTCAGATAAATTAATACATATATATGAACGTTTTGGATGAGCTCAAAATTGGGACGGAACTGCACTGAAACCTATCCTATGGCGGATGATACTAAGTATCTTTTCAGAAAGGTGGACATTTTAAAAATTATAAGTTGTTCTATTAGCAATATGTGGTCACATGGGAGTTTGTTAAATTTTTTAGTCTTTTTTGGGAGCTTAAAATATGAAATGAGTTCACAGAGGTGGAATGGTTTCAAGCAATAGAAGACCAAGATTCAACAGCTTCTTATTTCCCCTCTGAGAACGAATCATTGATCTCTAGTGGAACTATCAGAGTCCTGGATAAAAATAAAAATGTGAATTTTTAAAATAGGGCTCACTTTTAGAAATACTCTTCCAAAATGAATCATGCAGTTTGGCCTTTTCATATGAACTATTCTGATGCAATTTTCCCCATAAAGATACATTTTGTATCAGAAGCAGCCTCTCTGTTGTGGGATTTAGTACCTTGGGAGGCTCTGTTGGTGAAATTGCTTGCTAAAACTCAGCCTCACCTGCTCTGTGTTGAATGGATGCATAGACAGCTCTCAGCCCTCATTTTCTTTGAAAATGGAGAGATAATTTACTGAACTATGAATCCAGTGGATTATTTCTTTGGGCACCGCATAGCAGCTACTAGTTAAAAAGTTGAAAAGTAGGTAAGCGTTATTGTCCTGTCCAACACCAGTCCCTGTAACATTAGGGGCATCTCCTATACCAGTCGTTCTCATTGTGGGGTGATTTTTGTGACCCTTCATTCCTCACCAGGGAACATCTGGCAATGTCTGTAGACTTTTTTTGATGGTCTCAACTGGGACATTGCTGCTGGTATCTAGTGGGTCAGGGCCAGGTATGCTGCTAAGCATCCTACAGTGAAGAGGGCGGCCCTCCACGACAAGGAACGATAAGACCTAAAAGTATTAATAGTCACCTGGGGGCCAGATGCAGTGGCTCACGCCTATAATCCCAGCACTTCGGTTTGGGAGGCCGAGGCAGGTGGATGACCTGAGGTCAGGAATTCGAGACCAGCCTGGCCAACATGATGAAACCCTGTCTCTACTAAAAATACAAAAATTAGCTGGGCGTGGTGGTGCAAGCCTGTAATCCCAGCTACTCGGGAGGCTTAGGAAGGAGAATCACTTGAACCTGCGAGGGGGAGGTTGCGGTGAGCCGAGATCGCACCATCGCACTCCACCAGCGTGTGCGACAGGAGCAAGACTCCATGTCAAAAAGAAAAAAAAAAAAAAGAAACAAAACAAAACAAAACAAAACAAAAAACCAGTAGTCACCTGGGAGGTGGAGATACCCTGTTCTGAACCCTGATAAGTTTCTTTCAAGTGGAAGAATCTTGTCGGAACCTGTCTTCCACTTGGTTTTTGCCCATGTCCCTTCAGTAAAGACCCTCCCAACTCTGGTGCCATCCCACACATGACGCGAGAGCCTGTGGCCCCAGTTCAGTGGAAGGGCAGGTCCTGGTGACCCATTTTTGTCCCTTCTTGGGTTCGAGGATCCCCAGGGTGGCTAACCCACCCATGTGCAGCTGAGAGAGGCTCGTGTTTCGGGCGGGAATAGGATACTGAGAGAAGCTCTTCCTAGATGTGCATCCTGTAGACTAGTGATCACGTTTCATCTTCCTCAGCCCAGGGATCTGCAGCAGTGGTTACAGAGGGAAAACATTTGTCTGAAACTGGATCTGGGGCTGTGGTCTAGAGTGGCTCACTCCAGTGGTACCTTCTGAAGGTGGTGCTGGAAGCTTGAATTCTCTTCTGTCAGTAGCTACGGAAAATCAAAGAAGGAAATATCAAGTGGTCTGTGTTTTCAGGGCCACTGACTCTGTGACTCCCGCTGTCTGGTCTTCATGAAGCCAGGCGGTCAAATGGGACACACAGAAACTCGAATCAGTGAGTCCTTCCTCCTGGCCTGAGGTCCCAGCTTGATCCCACAACAGGGAAAATTCTGGAGCTTAGTAATGACTTCATTGTCAGCCTCTGCTCACCCTTGGAAGGAGATCAAAATTAAGTCACTCAAATTTTCATTTCTTTTGTTTGAGTAACTGTAAAATGGAAAACGATTTTTTAAAACTGAACTTGTGGTGATTTTTTTTTAACTTAGCTTAAAGTGTTTAAAGCTAGTGGTTGAATGTTTAAGCAATGATGGCAAGTTCTAATCTTATAAGTGATGACACAACAAAGTAACATGAGAAGGGCCTCCTCTTCCCACTCTCCAGGATGAGCATGACGTAAGATCTACACAAAGGAAGACATAAACCAGGTTAGGAATGTACAATCATATCTTAAAACATGCATCCAAATTATAACTTGTAAGCATCCATTTTTTCCTGAGTTATTAGCTTTTATTTATTAGAGCAGGTTTAGATTTAGAGAAAACTGGAATGGAAAGTACTCAGGTTCCCAGACGCTTCCTCTCTCCTGCTCCAGCCTCCACTATAATGGACTCCTTCCATTAATGTGGTGTATTTGTTACAATGGATGAGCCAATATTATCGATGATATGTCATTATTAACTAAAGTCGATAGTTGATGCTGGGGTCCACTTTGTGTTGCACATTCTATGGATTTTGATAAATGCATCCTCTGTTGCAGCATCACACAGTGTTGATTCCTTGCCCTGATAATATCCAGTGCTCCACCTGTTCAACCTTCCCTCTCTCTCTCCACATCCAATCAACCACTGAACATGTTGTCTCTGTGTTTTGCCTTCCATTTTCTTTTCACTTACAACCAGATCTGGTGAATTCTGTTTTCATGAGTGATGACTCTTTTACCCCTTTCTCTCGCCCTTCCACTTCTCTTTTGCTACTGTCTCACCTCATGGTCTTGGAGCCTGGCTTGAGAAGAGACTAGAGGCTGCTCTCGTTGCCTCCACCTTTTAGTCTAGTTGCATATATGGTGATCATTTGGAAACACAATGCCATCATATCTCTTTCCTACCCAGTGATTGTCATTATCCCTCTTGCTCCAGCAATAAGCTAAGACTTCACAGTGACAGAGGACGCGCATGAGCTCACGTTTCTGCAAAGTGCTTTCTTCTTGTCTCCTCCCTCTTAGGGCCTGTATCCTCAATCCCCTCCCCTTTCTCCCAACAGTCCATATTTCCTTCATGCATGCACATTAAAATCCCTCACATGAATGCATTTTCTTTTCTACAGGGTGAATGCTTCCTGCTCGTTGGCTTTGCTGCTGGCTGGTATATGAGTAGCACTGGCTGATGTAACAAACGTACACCAACGTTCCAGTGGCTTCCTACAAGAGTTCTATTCTTCCTCATGAAAAATTTCAGACTACATTCCTGGTTGTCAGGAAGCTCCCCTCCACATGATGACTCAGGGACTCATTTTGTTCCTCATGGCTCTGCCCTGTCTTGTGCATGTTGTTGGTGAAGTTGATAAAGGAACTTAGAAAGCCATTTTCTGTGGAGGCATAATCCAAGTGATGCCTATCATACCAGCTCCTATTCCCTTGGTAGGAATTTACTCACACAACCACCTCTATTTTAGAGGGAAGCAGGGAGACTTAGTGTAACTGTATGCCCAGAAAAGAAAGGTCAACTGAGGATTTCAAGTATCTACCAGTCTTAAGTGAATATAGAGAATTCTAGGTGGAGAAAACTAAAGAAAACAGAGACAGAGGAACAAAGTAAGTGAAGGTTGCAGAGTACGGAATGAAGGAGCTGGAAGTGGCAACGACATTCTACACTAGAGGAGAGGATGGGGTAGTTTCTCAATGCATGGAAAATCTATTCTCTCGGAAGACCTGGTGGTGCTGGAGGCTTGAATTCTCTTCTGTCAGTAGCTACAGAAAATCAAAGAAGGAAATATCAAACTGTGTTTTCAGGGCCACTGACTCTGTGACTTCCGCTGTCTGGCCTTCATGAAGCCAGGCGGTCAAATGGGACACACAGAAACTCGAATCAGTGAGTCCTTCCTCCTGGCCTGAGGCCCCAGCTTGATCCCACAACAGGGAAAATTCTGGAGGTTTCTGTGTTGACCTGGGTGGTAGTTATGCAGCGGTGTTCCCTTTGTGACAATTCATCAAACCATTCACATAATGTGTTGCCTTTTCTGTAGGTATTTTTTTCTTCAATGAATAGTTTAATAAACACAAAAAAGAAAATATGGTCATCTTATCTTTGGACAGTCTCTCAAATGTTTTATAATTAATTAAATTCTTTAACTTATGTATTTAGTTGGCCTGTTTTTTCTTTGAATATGCATCCAGATATCCCAGGTCACAGGAATTTCCACTTATACTTAGGTTACAAAACCATGCTGATGCACACATTTGAATTTTGTTGATCTACTTTTTCTGGTTCCCTTTCCCTAGAGTGTTCTCTTTTTTTTTCTCTGTAGCTGAAGTCAACCTATTAATTTTAAAGTATTTGATTAAACAGAATCTTCTTTATGAAGCCCGTCCTGGGCCTTCTATGTGGAATTGGCCATTCTATTGTTCATGTTCCTATGGTACAAAGCACATCTTTCATCTGATCCTACAGCATTTTAGTGAACTTCTTTGACTCCAATTACTAGATAATAAGCTCATTTGATGCTAGAGGTTATGCTTAATCATCTTTTTATCCCAAGTCCCCAGAAAACATAGTAAATGCCTAATAATTTGTTGAAGGAATGTGCAAGTGAATGGAAATGTATGCAACTTGTAACTGCGTAATGCAATTTTCAATCATGACTTAATATTTGTCATAGTTTACAGTAAAAACACATTATTTTAAATGGAGAGTCTAATATCATTTAAATATTCCACAGAAATAAAGACAGTTTTAGGTCTCTGGTTAAATTTTTTAGTAAATTAGGGATGAAATAACAGATTTCAAAGACTCACTTTTTAAGTAGTATTTTTCTGTCACTCGATGTCTATTTTCCTTCTTTCTACTTTTAAAATGGCAGCTGCACTTTTAAATTTATATTATTTCCATCATAAATAACAAATGAGTAAGTTCTTACTCATTTTCTTGCATCTCCTGAATAAGAGTTATTAAGTTAAACACAAATATCAAATTATAAAAACCTACAACCAACTAATTATGTTTTTTTTTCCTTTTGTTTTAAAGAAAGTACTCAAATTCAACTTTAATTTGTGGCATTAATTTATTATAGTGGTGTGGCTGAGGTAATGTAAACAGGAGAACTTTTCTGCCTTTCTTTCCTTATTTTTCCAATTCTCGTTACACATTTCTGGAGGCAAATCTTCATTTAAAAGGTGCTGCAAACTCAAGCTTCCCTCATGAATGGCATGTGTTAAATGTGAGATACTCCGAAAGAGTTCTCACACATCACTGCTGTACAGAGCAAAGTACACTATCACGAATGCATTGATTTAATAAAAGGGCAGAAAGTGAACGAATGAATCGGTCAACTCGGGAACCTGGAAGAGCAAAGCCGCAGCAGGCGCTGCTCTCACCCATCCTGCCCTCAGCTTCAGCCTGCAACGTGTGCATTTTCCGCCCTGTGCTCTGCTGCTGAAGGGCCTTCGTCAGAGGATCGCCTCCTCCAGGAGGGCTGTTCTCCTGCTTCCCTCCTAGGACTGAGCTCTTGACTCCAGGAGCAGCTAACCACACAGTGTGACTTGCTGTCCTGGTCTCCCTGCAAGCTCAGGCTGAGTCTGTGGTTGCGCTTGAACCTCCTGCTGTTGAGTGTCCTCACTTCCTGGCCAGTTGGTTTCTCCTGGAAGAATTTATTTCACAAACACTTGCACCCAAACCCTCGCCTCAAATTTTGCTTCTGGGAGAACTCGACCTAAGATGGAAATGTACAGATAGAGTCTAAGGAAAGAAAGAAATGTAGGGGCACAAACTTAATGCAATTGAGAAGGTGAGGCAATATAAGGAATTCACAAAAAGAAGGCAGATGAACGTCTCGAAATCTTAATAATGAGAACTTCTCTATGATACCATGCTCAGTAGATTGGGTGTGGAGCTGGGATGGATGGGGACTTAATTCGGATGACCTGATCATGTGAGCAGTGTCTAGCAGAGCCCAAGGTCAAAATCCTTCAGGAAGATCTTTAGAACCACAAATGGGTTTCAGCAAATTATGAGCCCCCTAGGTGAAAATCTTATGAGAGAGCAGTAAAATAGAAGGAAGAGAATTAAATCATGCAAAGGCAGTGTATTATCAAAGGCTTCAGGGTGTGAGGTGAGTGGCTGGGTGCCTATATTTTTCACAGTAGACTTTTCTAAGGTGAGAGGATTTTTTATTGTGTAAATATTTATGTTCCTTTGTTTTTGGCAATGCTTGCATATCAAAGGTGTACAAGAAAAGTCAAATACATGAGAGCTCAGTAAGAATGGTCATAGAATCTCACTTTATTTTCTATTAATTTTTGTTTCTGTTGTGCTGGAAAAATAATATGCCTTTATATGGGGATGAGAAGGGAGAAAAGTCATTATATTCCTTATTCTTTTCTTTTTTCTTTTTTTTTTTTTTTTTTTTTGAGATAAGGTTTCATGCTATTGCCCAGGATGGAATGCAGTGGCACAATCATGGTTCACTATAACCTTGACCTCCTGGCCTCAAGCACTAGGCTCAGCAGCTGGGACTGCAAGTGCATGCCACCACAACCCGCTGGTTTTTTGTTGTTGTTGTTTGTTTGTTTGTTTTACCTTGTTTGTAGAGATGAGAGTCTCACTGTACTGCCCAGGCTGGTCTCAAGCTCCTGGCCTCAAGTGATTCTCCTACCTTGGCCTCCCAAAAGCTGGGATTACAGGTGTGAGCCACGGCACCTGGCCTTATATTGCTTCCTGCTTAGTTTCACAAGGACTGAAATCTACCCTCTGATTTCAACCAAAGTCCCATTCTGACATATAGAAATAGCAATTTGCTGCTAGGTATATATTTAGAAAGAATAAAATCTCCCTTTTAAGGTGAATGAAAGTAAGCTTTATCTTTCAAGTGGTGGGAAAGGAGGTCCATGCAGGTGAATGTGAGTGTGTTGGTGTGTGGTATACATAACATCTAGTGGGTACGACGGTGTGATCCTAGGCATGTAAAAAGAACCCCTCAGAGCAGTGGCCATATGGTATTTTCTGCAAATGGTTAGATGCTTTTGAATATTTAAAATCTTCACTCTAAAAATAGAACTGGGTATCTATCTGATAAGGTGGTTATTTCATTTATTATCAAAGGTTAAGTAAACATTTTCACTAGGGACATCACTAAAAAAAAATCATCTCTCAGAGAAAGGAAAATAATTCTTTCCAGTTTAATTTTATTCCTTTTTGCGACAGGAGGGAAGGCTGGGATCCACTGGGTTGATTCCAGGGCCTGTCTCTGGGCTGGGGGTAGAGAGGTAAATAGTGGATGCATCTCTTTGTCTTCCACAGTTTGATGGATGCCAGTCGCCAAATAAGAAATATTTTTAGTTTCAAGCCAGTTGCTACTGAAGTCAAAAGTTCTAATTGTTCATTTATCCACAGTTTTCTGGGTGAGGAAAAGGGCTAAATGGGAAGACAGAGATGCCTTCTCTTGCAGGGGTCATTGTCCTTGACAGTAGTGCATGCCCAGAAGAGACAGCATGACCACTGCAGTAAGACACCTGGGAGCAGGTAAGCACAGCCACCTGGCTGTTAGTGACATGGTTGTCATCATGACTATTATTATTATTTGTTAATATTTGTTCCCAGTGCCATGAGGCTGCTTTCTCAAGCAGCAATTTCTTTATTTCAAAACAAGTTTCAGTGTAATTCACCTCACTCACAAGGGTATTCTAGAAACAAGTGAGTTGCTTGTTGCTCTTTTTAGCTGACACACCGAATAAACCTTGACACTTTCCCTTCCTGGTTTCTCCCTTCCCCTCGCCATCATAGCAGGAGGCTGCTTTGAAATATATTATACTGACAGTGAGCATATGTGCAGCAGTAAATATTATGGTTTCATCTAATGCTTCAACTGTGAAAACAAAAGACAGAAAATGTAGTTCACATAACAGATACTGAGGTCAAAAACTATCGGTACAGATATTCCACATGGCAACTATTACACATTTCATGGAGAGCTTATTTATGGGAACATATTATGAGTCATAGCAATTCATAACATGGTGTGCTATGGAAAATTCCATTCTCCACTCCAACTAAATAGTAGACACACAGCACTCATTTTTGATTAATGAGAGTCATAAACATATCCCACCAGGTATAATACAGTAGTTTACAGCTCTAACCTAAATTGACAGATATATTTTTTTCTTCATAAAACAAGAAAAATGGGATAAGTAAAATTACTGCAGTTCTCAGCCCAACAGTTAACTGGCTACAGCCAGGGCCGGGGCAGTGTCATTACCCACTTATAGGGATTTCAGCTCCTCTGGCATCATTTATTCATTACCTATATTGCAGCATCTTCATCTATTCTATAAAGATCTTTCTAGTTTGAATTAAGATAATGTGCTATCTGTGCTTGTTAGATATGGCATAACGCGGTTTGTACTCACTTTAAATCTCACCAAGTCAGAGAGCATTTTTGCATTTGAGATAGAGCTAAAAATATTCACCCATTAAAATAGTAATCATCATTAAAATTAGCTCACTGATTTTGCTGATTAATTTTTCAGTAACAAGTGTGCTTTCCGAAAAGTTTCAATTAAACATTTTTTGACAAAACTACATTTTTAAATCGTAAGAAGAAAAAGATAATTAAGGAAATAAAAATAGAAAATTTAAATCTACTGTAATTTTTAAAAGCCTGAAAAATTCTCTGACAAAAATAAAGAGTGAAGAGGATGGGGATGGTTGCTATTACTAGAATGTAGGACTGAGTTAGTTTCCTACATTTTCATTTTTGGGCTGTGATCATCACACCTTGGAAATGTTGTCTATTTTTGCCTGTATAGAAAAAGTACAATCTAGCAGACATAAGAATTCAAGGGAAGAGGGCCACTTTGGTGAGATTTAAATCTTTATTTGCATGAGTTCTATTTTCAAATGCAACAGGCATGGTTCAAGTTCCGAACAAGGTTGGAAATCTGTCAAGGTGCAGCTTTAAATCCAGGGGATGAAACCAAGGTTGGCTGCTTATGAGGCAGTCGTTGGTACTTTTTTTTCTCTTTAGAATCTATTTTCGTTGAAGTTAAAGACATAAGCAACTTTTGAAAATTATGGCAGAAGAAATAATGGGTCTTTCTTTCTTTCTTTCTTTCTTTCTTTCTTTCTTTCTTTCTTTCTTTCTCTCTCTCTCTTTCTCTTTCTTTCTTTCTTCTTTCTTTCTTTCTTTCTTTCTTTCTTTCTTTCTTTCTTTCTTTCTTTCTTTCTTTCTTCTTTCTTTCTTTCTTTCCTTCCTTCCTTCCTTCTTTCTTTCTTTCCCTCTTTCTTTCTTTCTTTTTTTTTTTTTTTTGTTTTTTGAGATGGAGTCTCACTCTTTTGCCCAGGCTGGAGTGCGGTGGCATGATCTCCGCTCACTGTAACCTCCACTTCCTGGGTTCAAGCGAATCTCCTGCCTCAGTCTCCCAAGTAGCTGGGATTACAGGCGTGGCACTACCACACCTGGCTAATTTTTGTATTTTTAGTAGAGATGGGGTTTCGCCATCTTAACCAGGCTTGTCTTGAAATCCTGGCCTCAGGTGATCCACCTGCTTCAGCCTCCCAATGTGCTGGGATTACAGGTATGAGCCACCATGCCTGGCCGTTATTTCAATCCCATAAGAATATCAATCTGTACTGTAATCTTTAAGAAAGCAGACTAGTACAAATGTCTCTGGCTTTAAAATAGATACACATATTTTAAATGGAGAATAAGAACATTAACTCTAAGACAGAAACCTGTTAAAAAAAGTATAGAAGATAAATAGTAGGAGAAAGGTATAATGTTCAGCCATGTTAAAAATAATGTTTGCATATAATTTGGTACTAATAAAAGCAATTAAATACTCCTTAGGTTTGAATACTTGATGTGACACAGTATTTGTAATGGGTATATGTCACAAAGCAGTAGTGATGTCCGGCCCATCACAGATGACCGGCAGTAGTGATGTCCAGCTCGTCACAGATGACTATCAGAGAGTATGTGTCATGGGAATATCTTCTGACCTTTCTCATATAACGGGTGGCAGCAGACATCAAGAGAGACAGGGGCTCCTGTCAAAATGATCTGGGATATGGCAGGCAAGAAGGAGCAGCAGTTAACCCAAAGATTTCCATATTTCCATAGAAAAATACAAACACACACACACACACACACACACACATTTATTTTCTTTTTAGAGAACACAGATAATGTGTAGTTATATATTTCTTTATTTCCAAACATTAAGCTGTAATGGAAATCAGCTTGTTTTAATAATGTAATTTAGCTTAATCTTCGATGGAGCTTTAGTGAGCTATTTTCTAGAATTTTTAGAAAGTAAGTCATTTGCTGTTTATGAGTCTCATTACATAATCTCTGGGCCATTTGAATTGCAAGAGATATTAAATCAAAATGTTTATAAAAGGTTATCTATGTATTCTATGACACAGTATGTCTGAGATGGCTAGCATTTGAGAAACAAAGATGTTCTTATTTGTCTCCTTTAATTTGAAATGTAAATTTAGTTTGGTTTAAAGTGGAATGCCATAGATAACTATCAGAATAAAACAATGTGTGTATTTGTGTGTGTGAGGGTGTGTAGATTGGTAGATAGATGATAGATGATAAATAATAGCTATACAGACGGAAGATAGCTATATGGACATTTAAGGTACCTAAATTATCATATATTGTCACATCTTGACTCCTAATTACATCCAGGTGCATATGAAAATAAAAGGTTTGAGCTATTTTAAATCCTGTGTGTATGTTTGTTATTTCCCAACATTCACCTTTGCCCTCTTGCAAACTATCTTTCCTGTAGCAGCCAAAGTGATTTAAAAATAAAATACAAATATTTTAGACCTTCGAAAGGGCTGGCATCACACTTAGAACCAAATCTAAACTCCCGGCTACAGCCTGCCTCTCCTAGCTCCTACGCCATGACTGCCCCCAACCCACCCCAGCTCTCTAAGCTCCCACCCTAGACCTCACTGGCTTCCTGCCAGCCTTAGGACACAGGCTCCTTCCGTTTCTTCAGCCTGAGATGGCCACTCCCTGGGGCTGGTCTCTGTAAGCTGGCTCCTTCTAGCACTGCTGGGGCTCTGCCTAACCTCCCACAGACCCCTTAACCAGCTCTGTGGGCTCTGCCCAGCTTCTAGGGAGTTGCATCCTGGTTCAGGGCATCTTCCTGGGGCTTGTAGGCCTCCCACAAGGGAGGTGACTGCCGGGTGGGTGTGTGAAGCCCAGCTCCCTTCCCTCCACAGCAAACTGCAGAGGTAGCATCATCACCAAGCATCTGAGCACACAGGCTGAGGCTGAGACCCCCTGAGAAGCTGTCCCCGCCTGGCATCTCCTGCTTCCCTCTCTTGACCCTTACATTGCCAGATTGGCTTCTTCTGGAAGCAGTTCTTTAATCGATCGCTTACAGGTAAATCTTCATCTCAGCATGTACCTCTGGGAAGTCTGAGGCAAGACAAATGGCAGCTCCAAAGCCACCTCCAACCCCCTTCTGACAAAGACAGCCCATTCAGGGACCTAGTATTCGTTTCAAGTCCAGGGCCCCCCAGGATCCCAAGCATGGGGTCCCTGGGATTGGGGGCACTGCCTCCAGCCTGGGCTGCATGTTTTATATTTTCTCTGTTTATTCCCTTGATGAGACTTATTACTATCTGTAATTATGCATCCTTTGTTTATGTGAATATTGGTTTCCTCCAGTAAGTCACACTCTCTATGGAAACAGCAGCTTCATTTGCACCCTTCACTGCCACACCTTGGCTGCCATGATGGCACGCAGAGAAGGCAGGTGCTGCTGGATGCTGGGGACATGAGAACCTTGCTCTCGAAGAGGAAGATCCTGCCTCTCTTCACCAAATTCTTACATCCCCATTTCCATAAGCTGCGTCATTGTCTCTGCTGACCCTCAGCTTCTCGGCCTATCCTTGTTGCCCTGGCTCCTGGGGCCAGCAGGGCTGGTGGCTGCAGGAATTTATGAGGGCATGTACCTGTGAAGAGCGAACAGTGGTAGTGCCTGATGGCCAATTTTTGAGATGCCTAAAAGCTTTCTCAGGGCGCCTGGGCATGACCATTAGGAAAGGAGCATGCATTATGAAGAGTGTGGTCCTTTTCTAGCTCAGCGAGATTTACTTCCCCAGGTGGAGCTGGTAAAAGCACAAGCACCCTCGATAAACCCTGAGGAGCTCAGGTGGTTGCCCAGGGAGTGGAGCCTGGTGAGGACATTTCCCTGGAGATCAGGCACCGGAATGTCTGCTTCCTAGCTTTTCTGGGAGTAGGGGATGCAGAAAGCAGAAGTGAATGGAACAAGTTCCTTATGACCTTTCACCATTTGGCAAATGTGTGTGATAGAATATGCAGAAGAATGGACCAGGCAAGGTGGTTCATGCCTGTAATCCCAGCACTTTGGGAGGCCAAGCCAGGAAGATCGCTTGAGCCCAAGAATTCAAGACCAGTTTGGGCAGCAAAGTTAGACCCCAACTCTACATATATAAGAAATTAGGTGTGTAATCCCAGCACTTTGGGAGGCCGAGGCAGGTGGATCCCCTGAGGTCGGGAGTTTGAGACTAGCCTGACCAACATGGAGAAACCCCGTCTCTACTAAAAAATACAAAATTAGCCAGGTGTGGTGGTGCATGCCTGTAATCCCAGCTACTCAGGAGGCTGAAGCAGGAGAATGGCTTGAACCCGGGAGGCGGAGGTTGCGGTGAGCTGAGATCACGCCATTGCACTCCAGCCTGGGCGACAAGAATGAAACTTTGTCTCAAAAAAAAAAAAAAAAAAAAAAGAAATTAGGTGGATGTGGTGATGAGCTCCTGTAGTCCCAGCTACTCTGGAGGTTGAGGCAAGATGATTACTTGAGCCTGAAATGTCAAGGCTGCAATGAGCTGTGATCATACCACCGTACTCCAGCCTGGGTGACAAGGCACAACCCTGTCTCAAAAAACAAACACAGAGGATGCAGAAGAATGGATGTCACATTTAATTTTTTAAAAAAATATATATCCTGTGAGACATTTAACTCAATGATTTATTAATTCAAGAAATCTTTATTTAGCACTTTGTATGTGCTAGGCCCTGGTCTAGACATTGGGAGCACAGAAGTGACCAAACGCAGACATATTTTGCCTTCCTGTTTGATATTCTAGTTGGCTGAGAGAAACAATAAATGAACACTCGGAAGGTTGATGGGTTGGCAAAAGTGAGAGAGACTGGACTTGGTGGGGAAGCTTGGTGGTGGTGGCAATAAGCTTTTAAGCAAAGATTTAAATAAAGCAAGGAAGCAGTCCATGCAAGCACCTTCAGGAAGTGTGTTTCAGGCAGAGACACGGTGGGTGAATGCTCTGAGGCTGTAACAAGCTGAGGGGGAACAAGAAACACTAAAATTCTGTGAATTCCAGCGGCATCAGTTGAATGTTAATTATGGCACATCAGGTACTTTCCCTTAGCAGCCAACAGAGTAAAAGGGAGTCGGTCTATGTACATAGATGATTGCTTTTGAGGTGGCACTTAACACCTGTGTTTCCATCATATCCCAGTGGTAGACTAGAAAATGGCAACAAATAATAGAATTTGTGTTATTCTCATAGGATCTTTTTAATAAGTTATAGATTCATCTGAGGGAGTACCAGACTATTGGGTTTTAGAGATTGACAGCAAAGAAGAACTTAGGCATGAATCTTCTTAATAACAGCTAATATAGAAATAGAGGAAAAAATCATTCTCACAATACAGATAGATTAGAAAGTAATCATTTATATTCAACAAGTATTTATTGCATAACTAAAAGATTCTATGTGAGAGTACTACACGTAATGATTTTCTGTGAAGCAGTTAAGATACAATTTGTTCCTCTAAGAAGGAAAACAGGATGTATGCATCTATGTTCTCTGCCAAGCACACTAAGGCTTTTGCTTTTAATTCATAAACATTATGCAATACAATGGCATACAATAAAGTTCCTCTTTGTTTAGTAGAGCTGAGGGTGTCCCAGTTGGTTGCAATATATATATTTAATAATTAGATTGTGTGTGTGTGCACAAGTGTGTGCATGCACATGTATGTGTGCATGCATGTGTCTGCATATATGCACACACACGAGGGTGTGTAAGTGGGTATGCATGTGTGTGTGTGTGTATATGTTCACATGTGAGTGTGTGTGAATGGACATGCTTGTGTGTGTGTGTTCACATTGTGCAATCCAAATGCCCTGCTTTATGCATCTGTATTCAAGACTCAAGTCCTGCGGGGACAGAGTAACTTGTTTTCAAGAGTGTTTGGCACAGCATCCTGCAGATGTGGGAACTTAGTAATTGTGTGCTGAGGACGATGATTAGGTTGATGACAAATTTGTGTGTTGAGTAGAAAGAGCTTACTGATTAGTTTCTGGAATTGTTGCCCAGTTTTAAACAAATGGGGTTTTGCTGTTTTTTTTTTTTTTGATTCGTGGGTTCTGTCATGTATTTAGTTAAACTATGAATGCTGCATTAAAATGAATACCTTCTCATCTTCCTGGAATATGCGTGGGCGTCTTGCAGGGATTACGAGTGGACTTTGAGCGTTGCACTTCTCCCACACCTTCTCCTGTGTCCTAGGCATGGCCAGGCGCAGAGGCCCAGGGAGGAGCACCAGGTGTTCTGGAGCTTTTATTTTGGGGATTTGTATGTGTATTTTTTCAGAGGTCTCCTGAAATTTCTCAATCCTATGCCCCAGAAAATATCCAGATTGGCACTAGGTGTTACTCTTTGGCTTGAGACTCTCTTATTAAATCTTGCTGTCATGTGTGTGATTTTATTATTTTTTTAAAGGATATGAAATATGCATCCTTAGTAAGCAATAAAGGGGAGCCGCACATGGATTGGAGCCATGATGTGCTCCACCTGCTGGAAACATTTCCAAGGATCCTGTCTCCTTTTACAAACTGTATTTATGATGGTAGCCCCTGTGATGATGAGTTACATGTATTCTGTTCTCTGTGCTACTCAAATAAAAAGTGGTAGCTGTTCCATTTCGCTGTTTCAGGAATGTAAGAAAAATATGAAACTGGAAGATCCTTGCTCTAAAGAGTAAAAATTCAAAAAACAGAAAAGGTTTTCAGTACTGTGAGAAATGGTTTATGAGTCTTTGCTAAGAAGTGGTATTATCTATGAGGGCAATAAATATGAAGGTCCCAGTGAAATTTAACTTTTGGGGAAAGTTGCTATCTTAATCAGCTTGGATTTCAGACAAATGTCTGATGGTGAAAATTTAAACAAAATAAGAAAAACAAAGAAAAAATAAGCTTACTAAAACAAAATAAAGTGACACAATGAGACACTGAGAAAATACAATGGAGGCTGAGTATTCAGGATCAAAAGACTCAGTGTTTTACTAGGACTTCCTATGGAAAAGTCTTCATTCGATTAGACAGATAAATTTGATTCCACTTTATTGAAATGATCAAGAGGTATGTGCAAGACTTCAGGAATCCTAAGTGACGTTTAAAGCGTTTTTAAGCCGTGGGAAGATCTGGCGTGACTTATTGTATTTGAAACTTCAGAGCAACTCCAAAGGCAAACCCAGCTCAGGGAAGACACATTGTTACTTGTACTCAATAAGTAGATGCTAAGAAACATAACATGCTTCTTACCTCAAGGCTGAGGTTAAGATGGTAAATTGAGTTTTCAAACGGACAGTAACACAATGCCCATCACAGCTGTACCTAGACCCGGAGCCTGATAAAATCTGCCGCTCTACCCCGACCACGCCACGTGTCTCAGCACGTATTTGTCTGTTTTCACACTGCTGATAAAAACATACCCAAGACTGGGAAGAAAAAGAGTTTTAATTGGACTTACAGTTCCACATGGCTGGGGAAGCTTCAGAATCATGGCGAGAGGCAAAAGGCACTTCTTAAATGGTGGCAGCAAGAGAAAATGAGGAAGAAGCAAAAGCAGAGACCCGTGATAAACCCATCAGATCTCATGAGATTTATTCACTGTCATGAGACTAGCATGGGAAAGACTGGCCCCCGTGATTCAATTACCTCCTCCTGGGTCCCTCCCTCTACACGTGGGAATTCTGGGAGATACAATTCAAGTTGAGATTTGGGTAGGGACACAGCCAAACCATATCGCAGCATTAATTATTTCTACCTACCTATACTTGCCACAAGCTTTGCCATGGACACGGGGATGGGAAAAGAGATAAAACTAGACAGATAGGAAAAACAAAGTGGCTTAGGACTGGCCATTGACTTGAAGAAGGGAAACATGAGAAGAGATGAAAACTCTCCATGGGAGTTCAAGCTCCTTCCTTAGGGGAGGTGGTGTAAAGAGGAAATTTAGGAGATGCATAATGAATGCTGCTTCCATGCCAGAGAACAGTGTAGGAAATTTCATTTCCTTAATTTAAGAGGATTCTAACTCATGCTTGAGCAAATGGATATAGAAAAATGTTATGAATGATAAATTATTTTGTACTATTTTGTTTTAAAATAACCCATATCATTTTATAGCATGAAAATTCACTCAAATGTTGAAGCTATCATAGGTCTTTAGCAATGAGCTTTCTCCCAGGGAAGAAAGTGAAGAAAACAATTCAAAGGTAAGGCTAAAGGTGACCCAAGATTTAGAATTGGGCTCATCGGATTTCAGATTCTGCATGTGACTAAGTCAGAGCCAATGCAGTCTTCACTTCATGTCAGCAAGAGCCACACTCTGAGTGCCAAACACAGCAAGATATTGCAAGGTTTGCATGATATTCATGGCTCAGGAACATAATATAATCACAAGCAAACTTAAAAAAATCAATTAATTCTTACCTTCCAGGCAATAAAATATCCAAAAATCACAAACACAGATTTGACTCTATAACCGCTATTGCTAATGATCCCTGGCTAAAATGAGCATGTGAGCCAGGCATAGTGGCTCATGCCGACAATCCTAACACTTTGGGAGGCAGAGGCAGGAGGATTGCTTGAGGCCATGAGTTCGAGACCAACCTGGGCAACAAAGTGAGACCCTTTCTCTACAAAAAATTTAAAAAAAATTAGCCAGGCATAGTGGCACACACCTGTAGTCCCAGCTACTGGGGAGGTTGAGGCAGAAAAATCACTTGAACTGAACAGTTTGAGGCTGCAGTGAGCCATGATTGTGCCACTGCACTCCAGCCTGGGTGACAGAGTGAGTCCCTAGCTCAAAATAAATAAATACATACATACATACATACATACATAAATAAAAATTTAGAGGTTAGCATAGGATTTTTTTTTTTTTTTGGAAATGAAATTTCTATTGCTTTTAAAAAAATACAAATCGATTTGTGGTGGTTCTGCGATGATCCCACACAAAGGGATATTCTACATTTCTTTTCCCTTAGGCTTGGGCCACCCTAGCTTTAGGAAAACTGTACATTTTCCCTGTTTTAGCTATACTTTGTAAAACTATTAGAAATGCCTGAGAGAGAAATGGGAAGAGAGCAAACAGGGACTGTGTAATGTGTTTGTTTCCTTTACATTCCTTTGTTGCATGTTTGCTAAATTCCTGTGAGTTTAGCCTTAAGGGTTTGAGATTCGGGACTACTGGGCAGGACCTGCTCACCGGCTGCCCATAACCGTCACAGTAAGAGAACACAGACAGCCACAGGAAGTGAATCTTGGAGCTGTGATGTCATCTCGGCTACTACATGTGTATCTGTTCTTACTTAGCCTGGAGAGCATTTGGGGAAGGATAAGAATTAGGCAGAGGATAGACAATGGGCAAAAAGTTTTGTAAGGGAAACTGTCAGTTAGCAAGAATGCACATGAATATATAAGCACAATGACTTGTCAGTTTGGTACTAGGTGATAGGGTGAGTTTTGGGAAGGGATGTTAATTTTAGTCTCCAGTTTTGCTGAGGTCATAATTTTGATTCATTTTTTTTAAGTTTTCATTTTATGCCAGTAGATGAAGCAGATAATCAGCCTTACCTCCAGGTACTCAGAAGGTACTTGCCCAGGGCTGCACAAGTTGCACCAATGATGACAATAAGAGGGGCATTTACAGTTTACATAGTGTCTGAGATTTTAGAATTTATTATGAAGAATAAAAAAAGGTATAGGGAATAACATAATGAACCGCCAGCTTTCTTAAATCTTCATATTTTGGCATATGCATTTCACACTTTTCAAAGAAATTAAACTAAACATGAGGTCCCTTATTGAGCCCTGAAATACCCCTTTTCTCCCCTTTTGAGATAACCTGTTACCCTTAATTTGTTTTCAGTCACCCTATTCATATTTTATGCTACCTTTATATATGCATATTCATGAATTTTTCATGCAGTGCTTTATCTATTTTAAAATTTAAGTGTCTCACACTGCACATTCCATTTCTTACATATTTTTGTCACAAAGTTTTTGGAGAATTTATTCTGTTACCCAAGCAAACTTGTTAACTGTTTTGTAGTATTCTGTGGTGTGAATATTTCAGTTATTTTTCTTTTCTTCTGTTATGCTCCTTAAGACTGATTCTAATAATAGTGCACGGAGTGAAGGATGTTTTATTTTTTTTTTTGCTAGTCTTTTTTAGGAACATGTGTCTAGGATTTGCTGGTAGCATGCAGCTCCTTTTGCAGTTCGTTTAGCAGGCACAGACACACTTAGCTGCTGCAGGGTACCACGCTTATCCAGCCTTGGTCCCAGAAGAAGACAGGAGTAGCGTAGGGAGCTGTAGTCTCCAGCACACTCCACAGAACACCAGCAACAACATGCAGGGGCCGCAAGCCGCTGAAATGCGGGAGCTATTTGTTGCTGCAGCTTCCAATTAAATCTGACAAAAGTGAGGAGGCAGTCACCAGTGTCATACATGTGAGATCTCAAAAAAAAGTTCTCTTTTTTTCAGAAGGCAATTGGATGTATGTTCCATTTTGATTTTTTTAAGTCAGTGTACTTAATGAGTTGACAATATTTTAATGTGTTCAGTCAGAATTTAGGGAAGAATGAAATTTTCCCACAGGGAAATAAAAAGATTTCTGCGACAGAGCAGCAACCAAAGGGACATTTACTTGGGTCCCCTGGGGCCTCTGCCTCTGCTGCAATCTGACGGTGGCTCTGCAACTGGTACCCAGTGGCCAGCCCAGGGCTTCTCTCAGTTGTTATCCTGGAAATTCCCTTCTGTTTTACTCAGTGCTGATTACCTATTCCCAAAATCTGACTGTTCTCATCCTTGACCTAACCCCTCATTTCCTTTGTTCTACTTTCTAGGTTCTAGGATATTTCCTTCTCATTGTATTTCACACCAAATCCTATTTCTTGGCTATCTGAATGTTCCTTTTATCTTTTCTTGATTTTTTTATTATTTCAAGAAGGTAATATTTTATCATATGTTTATGGATAGTACAGATTGTTTTAAGCAAGATTTCTTTTTTTTAAGTTGTTTTCTAATATTTTTCATTTTTTTCTTTTTTTACACTTCGCCTCATTTTCCCATTTAATGTAAGTTTGAGGCTTCCTTCAGGTATCTACAAATGTGATTACTTGGTAAAACTGCATGACTGTCTCCAGTTTTACTTAATGCCACCAAATTGCTCTTGAAGGGCCTGTGCCAATTTAGTGTCATGAGCAGAGAATGAGCATTTATGTCACCCACCCACCCACCCGGGTTTTTAACATTCAGTGACCAAGATAAAACACAGCACCACCTTCTACTTGTCTAACTTTCTTAGGTCTCAGGGGACAAGCTTTGGAAATTTAATTTCCTCAATAACCACCCCGTTAAAGTATTCTGAGTTTTGAGTGGTTCTTGACTGCTGTATTGTTTCATTAAAAGTGCATTCTTTTTTCATGGATTTTTTAATAGAAGTTTGTGTTTTAGATTTATTTTATATATATATATATATATATATATATATATATATATATATATATATTTTACCTCGCAAACATAAACAGGGTATAGAATTAACACAATTTGTTTTGCTTTTGTTTGTAGAATTCTTGATTTTTTAGATCTTTTGGAATGAAATGTATGAATGTTGTTCTGCAAAAGATTTTGTATTTTACTCTTACTTGTAAACTGGATAGACCTATTTATTCAATAATATAAATGGGAATATTCTGTGTTACAACGACTTATTTCAATCTACAGTTGCTTGTGGCTTTTTGTCCTTGTAGAATGTGACATCTATATTAACAAATATTGTGATGGAAAAGTAGAAATAGGTTTATTGACATTTCAAAGGGACAGTTTTATGGCATAATTACTTTATAAGACTAGTACATTCATTTGAATGACTAGAACTAATTAATATGGTGAATAAAATTTAACTTCCTTGAGAAAAATCATTAATGGCCATTTTGAAAGAAGATGATGAAATAATTTGTGTTATTTCAAAATAAAAGAGGATTACATTTTAATCTAGATTTCTCAATTATACCAAATCAGAAACATCTATCATTACTCTCTTGCTCTGAGATAAACATAAATAAACACATCAAAACTATTTCATCAAACTCTAATACCAAGGCGCTCAAATGGAGTACCATTTCCATCAGGCAAGCTTGCTACTAAAAAAAATTTAAATTTTTGTTAACTATATTAGTATGTACTGAACTTTATCTGGAGAAATGGAAGAAATTATATTTGTTAATTATTGTAAAAAAATTACAGGAGGAAAAGTGAGATTTTGTTAGTTTTGCTTTTTGTTTGGATCTTGTTGGAAATGTATTTTCTTGACTACTATATAAACCCAAATGTCTGCATATTTAACCATAATCTTGGTTGCTATGAAACTGGAGATTGTGTTTTTAAAGAATATTTACTAGCAAAGACATTTGTGCTTTCATAGAATATGTATACCGAAAAAAATTTAAATTCTATTGAGAAAAGGCTGCACTATAGTAAATCCATAATGAAAAAAAGAATTACTCTAACAGTATTACAGTTATACCTGTACTTTTCTATTTAGACGAAGACTTTCTGCAGAGCTGTAATGGTTACTTTTATGTGTCAGTTTGACTGGGACACAGGGTGCCAAGATATTTAGCTAAACATTGTGCCCAAGTGTGCCTGTGAGGGCGTATCTGGAGGAGGCTAGCCTTTGAATGGATGGACTGAGAGCCTTCCCAGTGTTGGTGGCTCTCATCCAACCAAGGGACAGCCCCAATGGAGCGAAAAACAGAGGAGGGCAAGCTGTCTCCCCTGTCTGACTGATTGAGCTGAGACCCTGGTCTTCTCTGGCCCTTGCACTGAAACTTGTGTTGGCTCTGCTGATTTTCAGGCTGTGAGACTCAGACTGGAATTTACACCACCGACTTTCCTGTGTCTCCAGCTTAAAGATGGCAGATCATGGGACTTAGCCTCTATAGTCATGTGAGCCAATTCCTTATTCTACTTATACATCTACATATGGAAACATCCTGTGATTTCTGTTTCTCTGGAAAACTCTGACCAACAAAAAAGTCATACAATTTTAATAGCCAAAACCTGCAGACTATGCACTTTTGAAATGTCCAGGACAACTTTAGATGAGAACACAAATATTACCTCATCTTAGTACACAATAGACTTTTAGTCTATAACGAAGCAAGCAAAATTTTAAAAAGTAAAGACTGAATAAGAAGTATAATATCTCTGAGGAATAGCCACACCATCTTCCACAATGGTTGAACTAATTTATGTTCTCACCAAAAGTGTAAAAGCATTCCTATTTCTCCACAACCTCGCCAACATCTGTTGTTTTCTGATTTATTGATGATCGCCATTATGACTGGAGTGAGATGATATCTCACTGTGGTTTTGATTTGAATTTCTCTAATGATCAGTGATGTTGAGTTTTATTTCACATGTTTGTTGGCTACATGAATGTCTTCTTTTGAGAAGTTTCTGTTCATTTCCTTAGCCCAGTTTTAAATGGAGTTGTTTGAATTTTTTTTCGTAAATTTGTTTAAGTTCCTTGTAGATCCTTGACATTAGACCTTTGTCAGATGGACAGATTGTAAAAATTTTATCCCACTCTATTGACCCAGCAATCTCCTTACTGGGTATATACCCAAAGGAATATAAATAATTCTATTACAAAGATACATGCATGAGTATGTTTATTGCAGCACTATTAACAATAGCAAAGACATGGAACCAACCCAAATCCCCATCAGTGATAAACTGGAAAAAGAAAATGTGGTACATATACACCATGGAATACTACACAGCCATGAAAAGGAATGAGACCATGTTTTATGTAGGCACATGGATGGAGCTGGAAGCCATTATCCTCAGCAAACTAATGCAGGAACAGAAAACCAAACACTGCATGTTCTCACTTATAACTGGGAACTGAATGATGAGAATGGATACAGGGAGGAGAACAACATACACTGGGGTCTGTTGGGGGATGGGGGGAGGGAGATCATCAGGATAAACAGCTAATGCATGCTGGGCTCAATACCTAGGTAATGAGTTGATAGGTGCAGCAAACCACCATGGCACATGTTTGCCTACGTAATGAACCTGCACTTCCTGCACATGTACCCGAGAGCTTAAAATTTAAAAAAAATTTAAAAAGTATAACTTGTAGTCATGTATATCTTAAACAACTTTAAAAACTAATGTACTGTGTTCCCCCTTTTCCTTCAAGGAAAACCATTATAATATGATCTTGTCAATAATCAGCATTTTCTAGTTAGGAAACTTGATAACATTATCAAAACTGTTTTTTTGAGAGAATACAATTTTGACAATTTCTACATTGAGTCAAAACTTCTGTGATAATTAGTTTTAAATTGACCTAGGCTACTTTCTTACTGTATTTAGAAAAAAAAACAAAACTGAGATTATATATAACCTACAAAATATCAACATACAATATCTGTTCATTCTTTAAATCTTGGGATATTATTTTATTTTCTATTATCCTGTGAATTGAAAAATTTTACTCACATGACTTTTACCTCTATCAATTGTCTGAAAATTAAAATGATACTGAAATAGTAAGGATTAAGATTCTTAGCCTAATGTTAACAACAGTTCTCACCTTATCCATGGGGGATACATTCCAATACCCCGGGTGTATGCCTGAAACCTCCAATGCTACCAAGCCCCACATACTCCATGTTCTTTCCTATACCTACAAATCTATGACCAAGTTTGATGTACAAATTAGGCAGAGTAAGACATTAACAATGATAACTAATAATAAAATTGAACAATTATAGCAATATATTATAATAAAAGGTTATCTAAATTTGGTCTCTCTTATTTCACTGTATCACCAATAACTAAAACTGTGAAAAGTGAAACTGTGGATAAGGCAGGACTATGGTACTTAATTACTAATTCATATGAAGCAGATATGTTTTAAAGTGTTCAGAGAAGAAGGGTATCTACTTTTGTCCCTGCCTTAAACCTGCCTACCCTGAAAAACACTTTCAATACTGTTCAGCATAAAGGAGATAAGTGAGTAAATGCGGCAGCTCACAGCTGAAGAGGATGCTACAATTTGGGTGCCAGAGGTTGCAGGTGAAAAACAACAGAAGCAATAACAATACTCAATGAATTTTATGGAGCAGTATTGTCCTTAGAGTTGTCTCCCATGCATCCTCATTTTGTCATCATGGTCATCCTGTGAAAAGCCTGCCCTTGTGATCCCCGTTTGATAGGGGAGGAGGCTGCTGCTCAGAGGACTGTGTGACCTGCACATGGCTGTGGCCCTCGCTTGTGGAGTGTGCACTTAGAACGCCAGGCCCACAGCAGTCAGATTCCACGGCTTCTCTCTTTTTCTCTCCCCTGCTCATCCAGGACTCTGCATTAGACCTCACATTAGAAGTGTGCAGTGCACAGTGAGAAGCCTCATGCCCTCTCCCCTGCAAGGAATTATGATGAAAAACTTAGGAAGTAGCATTCTCCATCCCTGCATTTGGGCTCAGAAATGTACTCAACCTAAAAGTGTTTCAACGTTTACTTCTCAACTACATGTATGGCATGGAAACAAAAAGTTCACCTTGAATCCTAAACTAAACTCTAGCCATGTTTAGTTCTTAGAGAAAAAAAATCAACCCTCTAAATACCTCTACTTCTTTGTCTGCCTATTATCAATTGGCCCAATAATTTTTCTAATAGCTTATCTCTTTCATGATTTTCTTTTGCTTCATTTCTCCTGTTTTTAGGGTTCAATACTTTTATAAAAGTTCGGGATGCACCTGATTTGCTGTAACTTCTTCTTAACTTTTCAATTATCATTGAAGGATAAAAACATTAATAATTTGCAGAAAATCCCCAATCATACCTTGTTTGAATAAGACATGGTCCAGTGCCAAAATGTAGGCAAGTTTAAGCAGTAAAAACTTCTCTTTAGGCGAGGGCCAGTGACCTCAGACTCATGCACATCATTTAGGACTGCACCAAATGTGGCCACAAGCCGAAATCAAATTAGTTGAAGAAAAAGCAGAAAAGTCTTGGCTTCTGTAACAGAGATGTCTACAGGGAGACCTGTTTGGGATTTGACAATATTCAGGCCTTAAACAAATGATAGTACCAAAGGCTCTATTGTATCTTCCTTCGAGCTAGTGTTTCTTGGACCATCTGATGTCTCCCACTCCCACACCACTAGGTCCAGAGGAAGGAAGAAAGCTTTCTCTTTTCCTGAGCTCCGGCAACCATTTTATTACATTTCTTTGACTCTCATCGGTTTACCTGACAGTTTCAAAGCCCATCACTAGGTTTGAGGGAGATGAGATACACAGAGGTTCAATTTAATCCAATTGATTCCATGCGTGGAGATAATTCTGGGGTCTATTTCCCCAAACTGAAAAGCAGGAGTGGGTTTCCTAAAGAAATTTGGATTTCTTTTGTTACCAGCGGTGAAAGAGTGGATGTTGGTCAGCTAACAATAATTGCTCTGTAATTGGAGCTCCAGCACCTGGGGGTTTCATGAATAGATTTAAGGAGTCTCAAAACTGCTTTGAGATTGTGTCAAAAATGCATAAAAGAAAATATGCATATATTTAGTGGCATTTAACTTGCCTAAAATTAATAGCCACTAGCATAGAGACTTCATATTTAAATATGCTGTGTTAGAAAGGGATTTAAATGCACAAACGAATCTCCTGTCTAAAGGTATATTACCAATTATCTAGACTGTCTCTTTCTTTCTTGAATATTGTTTCTTTCTTTCTTGAATATTCCATTTGTTAACAAATGAGGACCCTTCATAAATATGACTTGATTTAGATAAATATGTAGATAGACGTTTAGAAAGAAAATTAACTACATTAACTACATGTTCTTCTTCAGTTGTTGTAAGAAATAGGCTTATTAAAAAAGAGATTACTGAAAATAAACATATCTTTATATTCTATGAGCATGTGTTTAATAGATTCTTTTCTTCATTACTAAGAACAACTAAGAGATTATAAAAGGAATCAAAAGCCCCAGAAAGACTGGAAAAGAGAAATGCAAGACAGTTAACTTGTAACAAACTGCCTTTTAATGAGGCAATTCTGCAAATACTTTAATAATAATAATAATGGCAATAATAGTTATTTGGATTTTCAGTCTGTTGTTTCTTTCTATCAAGGGTATAAAGCATTTCGACATAATGAGATAATATTCATGACAAGGGAGTAGTCATAGCCGTAAATGTCCACAGCACTTAAACACTGATGAGGAGCTTTGACATCTCATGACTGGCAAAACCCTTTCTTCTAAGTGCTTCTCAAGGCAGCCGCGCTATCAGGCACAGCTGGGAAATGGGGGTGGCAAGGATCCTGAGAAAAGCAGTGGGATTTTTCACTGGGGATAAGCCATTGTGGTAGCTGGCTATGAGGCTGGGGAGCTCTTACTATAATCCACTCTTTAATGCACAAAATCTAAAAGTTTACTGACCAGCTGTTCAATGAGACAGGGTGGGTGTTCTGAAATACTCAGTGTTTCATGGCTCTGTGTATCTCTTGCCATACTCAGAGGTTCTCAGATGAGTTTCAGAGGCCTTCCTCTCATCTGTTTGTGGCTCCATTGAGCAACTCACTGGTCTCTCCAGTACATCTATCCTCCAAATTCTATCTCTAGTGATATTTCTAAAACACAAATTGGATCTTTCATGAGTTAACAATCATCAGTGGCTTTCATTTGCTTTCAGGGTGAAGCTCAATGCCCTACACGATTCTGCTCCTACCCAGCTTTCTAGATAGTGGTGTTGAGGGCCCGGTTCTGGGGCCAGGAGGATTTGGGTTCAGCTGTACTAACAGTGCTGGAACCTTGAGGATCTTTACATCTTTATGCCTCAATGTTGTCACTTAAAAAAATGAGATAAAATAAATCCTACTTTGTTGATTTGCTCTGAGAATTAAAAGAGAAATCAGAGGCTTAAGGGTCTGGGCTATTAACTTAAAATGTGTGATTTAGATTGGCCTCCAGAAGAGTTTCAGGGAAACCTGCTATAACTGGTGCTAAGACAATCTGTCTTCATAGAGTGTTGAGCTGATGGATGGGGCTGGAGGCACTCATCTCCTGGACGTAGACCTGAAACATCGAGGCTTAGATTCCGGCCCCAGTCATGGCAGAAAGGAGGCCAGGATTCCCTCAGAAGATGCACTCTGGGGATTAGGGTAGGATATTGAGGTTCTGTTACGACCCACTGCTGGAATAGCAGTTCCTGAGTATTTAAGAGGAAAAGCTGGTTTTTCCCCATCATTCATCCTGAGTGCCCAGGACCATGGCGCCAGGACACCTGCTGTCCTGAGGATAAAGCAGAACCACACTCCGTGAACCTCCCCTAATAAGCACCGTTCTGGAAGGTCGTGTGGGAGTGAAGGGAAAAACTTCCCCTTAACCCTCTGAGCGTTCACTGAAAAATCACAGACAACAGGGTGCATTCACAGGAGAAAAGGCACACAAACTTATTTGATCACAGTTGTATGTGATACGAGAGCTTTAAGAATGAAGTCCCCAAGATACAGGGGGGATAGACTATTTTTATGTTTAGGTTCAACAAACTACGAATGTGAGAGAAAGCTAACATAGCCAACTTCATGTTGCTTCTAACTTCACAAGCTAACTGCCAGTGCTCATTCCTTTATGCAGGCCAAGCTAAGTATGGGAGGAATTTAGTTTACAGTTAAACTTTCAGGCAAGGATAATAGTAGTCCCTTGCCAAAATTAACTCGAGGACATAAACAGGGTGTACACACAAGTGGCAATGTTTGGTTGACAATGTATAGGAGCACTGTGACCTGGCCAAGGACAAAGAGGTTTTGCAACCTCCTCAAACTCCTGCTGATGTCCAGATGTCTGTGTCAGCAGTCACCTCCTGACCTAAATCCACTTCTTGTTCCCCTTCCCCAGTAGAAAAACAAGCTTGAGATTCAGGCCTTTTAAGATGGTTCTTCTTTAGGACATTAGTGTGCAATCTTCTCAGTTTGCTGACTTTCCAAAATCATGTCAGTTTCCTTGCCTCAACTCCTTGTTTCTTTAACATATTGCCTGTTCATGTGCTGAGTAGTACGAGCTTTGGACTCAGTGTCACGGACAGCCATGTAGAAATATAATTGAAAAAAGGGGCCTGATCTAATGCTGATGGATGCAGTAGAGAAACCCAGTGAGCCCTGTCTATCTAGGTCATTCACGGACTCTCTGAGCATGCATTTCTTTCTCCTGGGTGTGGGGCAGGAGTCTCTCTGGAAATGGGGTTCTCATGACCTATAATCAAACAGGGTAGGTCAGACAATTTCTTTATGGTCAGGTTTTACACAGAAATGCAGGGAGTAGGGGGTGGGAGTTAGAATAATATTTTAAGGTTTTATGGCTGGCTTTGGGGAAAAGGGATTCTAGTTTCCATGACTCACCTTGAGGAAAGGGATTCTAGTGTCTGTGGCCAGCCTCTGGGGAGAATGGGGCTGAGAGACAGGGGGGCCGGAGGTCAGAGGAAAAATGTTTGCTTCTGAGGCCTTCATTTTGGGGTATTATTTTCTAAGTCCCAACAGTCTGGTGTGTATTCTGTCAATATTCACCCTCCTTTGCTTGTGACGCTGGCATGCAATAGTACTAAGTAAATAGTCCCATATTTTAAAACAATAACACATTTGATTGCATGACTCATCCTAAATTGGATTGCAGATTCCAGCTCTATTTCCTGACCTGAAACTCTGGCCTTTGCATGTGCTCCTTCTGACGGGACACCCTGTCTTCACCCATTAACCCATCTCACTCCAGTGGCCCTCCAGGACCCAGGAGGATGAGGAACAACTCCCTCCCAACACCTGCGCCCCCACCCAGACTGACCACGAAGCCCCAACACTTGGCTCTGCTGTGGTGCTCACCCCCGTCTATGCCCATGGATATTGTAGGGGAGGAAAAGACTCATTTTCTCTCCACCCTCCTCGCTTGGGCCCTGTAAATGAGACTGACAGAAGAGAGATTAACAAGATTAGCAAGGGTAAAGCAAACAAGTTTATTGGCCAGTGCATCCTGCATGCATGCAGGTTAACTCAGGAATGAGGAACTCTGAGGGGTGGTTAGAACTTGGGCTTCTGGAGCATCTTAGACACAGACCAATAGGCTTTTCAGAAAAAGTGACAAGACAAAGGAAAAGGGCTTTGAGATTCAGGGGAGGGAAATTGCATATATGTAAATATTTAAGCAAGTCGATGGAAGACAAGGGCTAGTGAGTAAGGTTTGTTGGGTAGATTCCTGTGGCTCCTCCCAGCTGATAAAGGTCTAGAATAATCTCAGGTAACTGACTCCTTAACCTCCTGGTTTGGAGGACGGGAGTCACCTTTACAAACGCAAGTCCTGCCTTAGCAAATATCAGGAAGGCAGAGGGCTTTTCTAGTGTCTGTTTCTTCTTAAGCATCTTCAGCTCAAAATAACCCTTCTGTCAAAGCAGCACATTTGGGCGGTGAGTCCTGCTGGCTGCCACTCTCCTTGGCTCTTCCCCCCATCTCACTGTGCACTCCTCCTGCTCAGGAGGGTTCCGCCTCTCAGGGGCTCCACTCATCACTGGGGAATTCAAGGACAGGAGCACTTCCTACCACAATTGGTCCTTCTTTTGTCTTTAACTTCACTTCCGCTCCTGGGCTTTTCCTATCCTTCAGTTTGCCTCCTCTGTTTTCTTTGAAATTGTTCTCTTTCTTCTCTTCCCTTTAGCTGTAGTTTTCCCTTAGGATTCCTTCCCTGCCTGTCTTCTCTTCTATTTCTACCAAGTGATTGCTTCCCCTCCCGTGTTTTTAACTCTACCGGGAATCTACCTCTTTCTTGAGCTTTGGAGCAGTGAATCCTACCAGAGATAGTCCTAGCATCCAAGCAGAGCTCACTGTCATTCCAAAGTCCCACAGAGCGCTCCTCCTCCTTTAAGAGGAAGCCCAGGACCCCCAAGTCCACATTCCATTGTTGGTTTGCATTCCTCCCCCTGCCTCTTTCCATCCTTCCCAATAATATTCACATTTCCCTTAATTCTGACTCCGTGTTTTCATCAACTGCCTTTCTGTTCTCCGGCCTTACTATGTCTGTTCGGCTTCTCCTCATAGGTGATCCGACTCACCTCGACACTCACAGGTTGGCTCTTCCTGTCTAAAATGTTACCCTGTTTTGATTTATTGCTCTGTTAGGTTTATTATTTCTGCAAGCAGTGTGTTCTTTTTTAAATGTACATTTTATGTTTTTATTCCCTTACTTAACACCCTGCCCTGCCTCCCACAGTCCTGATGGTGAAACCTCCCTATGTCAGGGCGTCAGGCGTTGGGCTGACCCTGACCCTTCTGCCATCTCCCTTAAGCTCTACCCTTGGTCTAGACCAAATGAACGTCATAGCATCTCCCCCACTTTCCTGGCCCTAAGTTGCAAATTTATCCTGTAGGAATGCATGTCCTCCTTCCTTAGGGAACACTCTTCCTTCAGAAATATTATTTCCAGTTTTAACTGGATCTTCAGGATGCGGCAGGTGTTAACTTTTGCAGAGGCAGAACCCGTGACCACATCTGGCTCAGGGATCTGGGGACCCAATGTGCCTGCAAGCAGAGACAACAGGCCAGCAGCCTGAGGAGAAACAGGCAACAGTGGCTCTTTATGGCTGCACCTTGTTTTAGGGGTCTTTTTCTATCATGGGTAAGTGCACAGGCCAGCGAGCAGTGGGCACGATCAACAAGATTTTCAAGATGCAAGTGTATGAGGCAATGGATGCCCCATTTACCCTGATGTGAATGTTCCACCTTGCATGCCTGTATCAAAACTCTGGTGTGGCTATTCTACATTGCATGCCTATATCAAAACACCTTGTTTATCCCATAAATGTATACACCTTCTATGTACCCACAAAAATTAAAAATTAAAAAAAATAAAAGATCCATCATCTCAAACAAACACACAACAACAAAAAAGGCAACTGCAGCTCCTTGAGGGCCAAAGGCGGGGCCCTTCTGCTCGAGGGACCCAATTTCCCTTGATAAAGCGCACACACTTTGTAATAATAGAAGACAGCATTCACCATGTATCACAATGATGCTGTCCAGTGGCTTTCAGTTTTCTATGGCAAATCTACAATTTTTTTTATTAGTGTCTAGAGAAGCAAGTAAATATTAACTACTATTTTAACATTATTGGATGCACTAGACCTCATGGAAGCACCAAAGATTTCACGTTAGATGTAGACTTTAGTATAAAGAATAAGACTTCTTTAAAGTACTATCCAAGGGAGTTTAATTACTAAACTCCCTTTTAATTACTAAACCCTTTGAAAAAGAAAAAGACCATCACCAGAGGTTCCAATGAGAGTCCAAGTGGTGTTAGAGTGCAGTTCCACTGGGACATTTCTGAGCAGTTTGAAGAGAAGATAAAACTTCAGTGCTACATTTTATGACCCTGTTGCCTTTCACTAAAATGAAGGCATTACTATATTACAGGTATACTTAGGCCTTGAACTACATACAAAGGATTTTTACTGTATTTTAATTTAAACATTGCTAAAACTACAAACAACATTATAAACAGAGAAGTCTATAAGGTTGTACAAAAACAGAATGCGGGTGTAAAATACCCTTTGTTTAAAACCTCAGATTGGTCAAAATCTCTTTTTGATGTTTTCATATTCTCAGATTTGGGGTATGGAAGACTCCATGTCCTACACTAGCTGTGTACAACTTGGAAATATTAATTACAGTTCAGACTTTTTTCTTTTACTTTAATGGAAGCCTTATGTATGTGAGATTTTCCAAAAATGTGAGACTCTCCCTGTCTTCCCTTCCCCTTCCTCTCATCCCTTTTGGAATCCATGCAAAAACACTTCTAAGTACAGAATGTCCTTTTCTTTAGCACAGTCAATTTTTCCTAATGACCATTTATATAAACCTTGGTAATGTTGAGAACAGAGAATTCCTGCAGTATTATAAATAGCTTGTGAGAACTCTGCCCTCGACCCGATTGCACCGAGGGAGTAAGTGTTTCTAATTACTGCATGCAGCTGGTGACCTACAACCAGCACACCCTAGCTTGGCCATTCAGGTTCCACGCAGCTGGTCAGCAGCCACAGCCTGTGTCACACACAGATCCTAGCCCCAGTGACACACCATTGATGGGGGAAGCCCAGATTTTCCAGTAGGAAAAGTGGTGTTCACCAAATAAATGAATTAACCAGGGTAAAAATGTCCACAAGAAAAGCCCCATTCATCACCACGTTAGGATACAGAAATGAGAAAGTATCCCTGTAAAGTTGTCTTTCTAAAACCACATTTGCACAAAGCACTAGTGTATTTTCATTGGGCTGTGAATTCCTTAATTCTTTAGTATTGGGCAACGATGCAGAAATGTCCCCCAGGGTAACAAAATATGTTACCAATTCTCAAATTACAAGCTCAAAATAAACGTACATTTTCTAAAAATCTTGATAGTTCTTTCTGTTTCACTGCTTTCTCTTTCTCATCAGAATTGAGTCCACCACAGATACAACACTGTCAGGCCTTAGCATTCCCATTCCATTCTCCACAGCATCTTATCACCACACCTACCAGTTAGTGATACGTATTCGCTTTGTAAGCAAACACGGGCATCTGAAAAACTCCTACTGCCTTGATGTGAGCGACTGAATATCAATGATCTTGCCACTAACATAATAACAAGCAGGTTATTCTAGGCCTAACGATTCTGCCAGTTAGTCCTTTGCCATGATGAACTGGTGGTGTAGTTCCATTGTACATAGTCAGGGAGCTATTCACATTTTCAGGTTTAAACATATATTAATATAAACTTAGTTCTAGGTTGAATCATTACCATTAACTTATTGTGACACATGTACTTTGCTTTTTTGTTGTTCTTGTTTGTTTGTTTTTGTTTTGTTTTGTTTTGAGACAGAGTTTCGCTCTGTCGCCCAGGCTGGAGCGCAGTGGTACAATCTTGGCTCACTGCAACCTCCGTCTCTCAGGTTCAAATGATTTTCCTGCCTCAGCCTCCCGAATAGGTGGGACTACAGGCACGCACCACCATGTCCAGCTAATGTTTGTACTTTTAGTAGAGGCGGGGATTCACCGTGTTGGTCAGGCTGCTCTTGAACTCCTGACCTCAAATAATCCACCCATCTCGGCCTCCCAAAGTGCTGGGATTACAGGAGAGAACCACTGTGCTGGGTGACATATGTGCTTTGAATGTCTGTTAATAAACATCCTGGACTCTCACATGCTGTCTTTGTGACTACAAAGGAGAGAAGAGCTTTGAGATGCTAACCACACATTATGTGGTTTTTGTGATGAGCACAGCGTTGTGGCAGCAGAATTGTGTTCAGTGTTGGGCAGAACCGTGCCGACCATCAGCCCCAGCTCAGTCAGTGCTGCCACCTGTGATTTGCACACACTATAAGGCAGTGACAATTTTCTCAAATCAGTAAAATAATTTCATCCTTAAATTTAATCCAGAAGAGCACAGGTCTCTCAGCACATTTGAAGCTTTCTCTCATTAGGAAAAAAAAAAAACTTGTGGAAAGGGACTTTGAAAAAAAATTGATTCTAAATCATAGAAACAAATTGAAGCCACAATTGTAATCTCTAATATTATCTCATGTAGGGAAATAATAACCCCCTTAGGTTCTTGGTAGGGAATGAACCTCAGTAATAAAAGATAGATTAACAAGAGAAAACCACCACTATACAATTCACCCATGTAACCAAAAACCACTTGTACCCCTAAAGGTATTGAAATAAAAAAGGAGAACTCCATAGACAAGAACATTTATATTTTATATATACATGGGAGACACCCAGATAACGAGCAATCAAAGAGATGGCTTTGGGTTCCAGCTTACATAGCATCTTCAAAACAGAACAGTAACTTTTTAGAGGGGCGATGAGCTAAAGGAGAAGGACATTGAGTCTCTAGGGCAGCAACTTGTGGGGAGGAAAACAAGTGGCAGATAAAGGCTGGTTAGTGAAGCTTGTCCATGTAGATTCTTCTGGAACAATCTCCAGGTCCACAGGGTATAAAGTGGTCTTCAGTGGTTAACTTTGTTCTTCTTGGTAGCATGGTTGGGGCATGAGGTCTAGAGCCAGGATACCTTTTGTTGTCATAAATGTGTCTTGCTTTTAGGCAAATAGGAGGGCTGAGAACCTTTCTGCATCTGCCTCTTCCTAATTGTCTTCAGGCCAAGAATCCTACACGTATTTGAGTCTCCCACATTCATCACAGGTAGGAATCTTATCCTTCAGCTGCTTCTAGATAACGTCTTAGCCCTTTGCAAATCTCCAAATGACATGTTTAGTTGTTTTGCACTGCATTTTCACTTATGAACTGACTCAATCCCTTTTATAATTGGAAAGCGTAAAAAAACTTTCAAAATTAGACAAGTCTACCATTTTATTTATGCCATGACTGGATGTCAGGCCGTGCCACTCAGCACAGGACCAGTCTCTCCTGCTCAGGCCAATGCTCAATCCACACTCAGACAGAATCTCTCTCCTAGGCACCAGCCACTCACAAAGGGTCAGGAAGAGACATTACTGAAGCAAAGACAGTGGTGATGTTAAAAGTAGAGAGAAAGGAAATGGAAATCCAGCACACAAAAAAAGTATTTCTCCTTTAGTCCTACCATCTCCATCAGCTTGGGAACAGCATTGGGGGCTCATGCTTGCTTTCGCTCCCCAGTGGGATCATTTCAGGCAACCCTGGTGGCAAGCTGGCTTTCCTGTTTCCTTGTTTCCAACAGGGTGTGGCCTCAAGGAAAAATGTTCCTCACTAGGATTCTTGTTTAATCGCTCTCTGATTTGAGTTCTTTTCAGGCGTTTTTTTTTTTTTTTTTTTTTTTTTTAAAACAGAGACTTGCTCTGTTGCCCATGCTGGAGTGCAATGACATGATCTCAGCTCACTGCAAACTCTGCCTCCCGGGTTTAAGCGATTCTCTTGCCCCACCCTCCTGAGTAGCTGAGATTACAGGCATCCGCCACCACACCTGGCTAAGTTTTGTGTTTTTAGTAAAGACGGGGTTTCACCAGGTTGGCCAGGCTGGTCTCGAACTCCTGACCTCAGGGGCTCTCACCCCCATTTGCATACCCTCTGGAGGACTAGGTCATGGACTCCCTCTTCACAGAGCTGCCTGGGTTCCCGCTTTGCCCCATGGTGTAACCACATCACTATTCTTAAACGCCTCCGGTTTCAAACATAGGCCATGCTTATGTAGGGGACACTTCTCTCTCTGACAAGGAAGGGAATCTGAGAGATATAAGGATTGCATTCTTCTTTTTCGACCCCCGCCTCCTTCATGGCAAAGAGGACTAAAATGATACCTCTTTTCCTTGCATGTACTGGAGTCTCCTTACATAGCATTACTACTCTATACAACTTCAGTTTGCTCCCATTATGCCAGTGCAGCCACTCTGCTGTCATAGCTAGACTACGTGTGTCTCTCATACATAAAGTGTAATTATTGCCTTTTCATGTGTTCAGATGCTTCTGCTCCTTGTTCTGCTTTTTCCTCCTAAGATTATAAAGAACATGTCCTTCCTTATCCACGGTTAAGAAGGAAAAAGCCCATGCTGGGAGCATCCTGCCTCTGGGTTTTATCACAGGTACCGTGTGAAATGTGTTCTTGAAGTCCTTCCTTGCCAGTATGCCTGCCCTTACCGCCACACCTGAGTGGCCACAGCTGCCATCTCTAGGGCACTTAGCGTGGGCATGGTGCCTGAATACAGTAAGCAAGAATCTATATTCCACCCCAGAGAAAGGTATGCAGTAAATCTTTAAAAATATCCTTCAAAAACAAACAGGAGCACTGACTCTTTTTATCCTAGACGTGTCCATCCAGGTGCCTGCCTGGTTCTGCTAAGAGAGATGCCCAGAGCTACCCATAATTGCTACGTATGTGGGATCAGGGAGAGCTCATGATCCCAGGCAGCAACCTCCAGGCTGTCTTGTAACTTCCAACTTTCAGGGCAAAAGGATGCACCGGATGGCAGGATTTCCTCCCAGGAATTCAATCTGAGACTATAGTGAAAAACATTAGCCATGGAAGCTGGAAACACTAACAAAAATGATAGTTAACTTTTTGAAAGTGCCATCATTAACTATTCTTGTCTTAACAGATATTATTTTCCTAAATGATCATTTCTTTTTCTGAAAAGAAATTACTAAAATATGAATACCATTTTTAAAATGTGTATTATCTTTCAAGGTGTTTGAGATAGTGATCTTTTTGTAAAATTTGGCAAGAAAAAGACAGATGCTAAGAGAAAAAAAATCAACTGCTTTCAATGGAGATACATCTAAGGAACAATTGGTTAGCTAAAGCAATTTTCCTCTGACATTTAAGGCCTACCTTGAACAAAGGGATTCCCAACCACTCCCCCAGCTTTTTCTGAATGAATTCAATGCTTAGTTTATCTGAGGGAAGGTGCTCCCTGCTTCACCATGTCCTCCGCAAACAAAGGGAAATTGATTCTTCAATATCACTGTTTTCCCATGTTAAGTGGTATCACAAATAATTCATTCATAATTCCCTGTGCATGAACCTCTAGACTATGGCAGGTTATTGAAATACCTCAGGCTATTTATCATGTTCTTATCAGCTGTACCCAAACAAAGAACTAATCTTACAAATTCTATAGTAGAAATATAAAACCAAACAAGGTGACTTTAGTTTGTCTGCCGGCTGCGTAAAGTATGGCTGTGTCTTTGAAGGAGCCACAGTCCTTCAGCGTCCTCATGTTCCCTATCATGCATCCTCATGGGACGTTTGCCTTGTCCAGCTCCATGGCTGATGGTAGTTGTCTTTGACTTCGAAGGGCTTGCCTACTGCACTGTGGTCTTAACTACCTGAGCTTCAGTGGATGCTTGCATCTGATAACACGTATTTTTAAAATATGTGTGCTGTGGTAAGGTTGCAGTGACGAAGTGGGTTGAATCGTGTCCGCAAAAAGATATGTTGAAATCCTACCTGCACCTGTGAATCTGACCTTTTTGGAAACTGATCATTGTAGATGTAATCAAATTAAGAGGAGGTCATACAGGAAGTAGGATGGGCTTATAATCAATCCAGTATAACTGATATCCTTCTAAAAGGAGAAGAGACACAGAAATACAGAGAAGTAGGCAGAGGTAAAGGTTGGAACGATGCGGCTGTAAGCCAAAGAATGCCAGATTGCCAGCAAACCACCAGCATCTAGGAGATGGGTCAGGAACAGTTCAACCTTCTGAGCAATCGAGAAGGAGCCAACCCTGTACAAATCTTGATTTAGGACTCTTGGCTTCCAGAACTGTGAGATAATATTTTTCTGTTGTTTTAAGACACTCAGTTTATGGTATCTTGCTATGGCAGCCCTACAAAATGGATATATGTGGGAATGAATGGCTATTTTTCTTTCTATTTGAAGTTAAAAGACGAAGCAATCGGAGTTTTAAAGAGAGAAACAATTCCTGGGATAGCATTAGGATCATTGGATAACTGTGTCTTGCTCTTTGCTTCTGACGGGCGTCCTCATTTTGTACGTGTGCACACCCATTTTACTAATGAGTTTCGAGTTGATCTTCAGCGTGGGGCTCCACAGACAATGTGACATATCTCCCAAGCCAGGTAAAATAACATGGAGCAAACATAAACAGATAAAACTAAAACACAGAATGTAAAGGTAGATTCAAAGTTGTAGCTCACACTTGCATGTCTCTCTGTCCCTTTCTCCCTGTCTTCTTTGTGCTGTTTTGCTTTCGAACAACCATGGAATGGGATGCCCAATTTTGAGTCATTGTATACAATGAATTCTAAATCAGTTCCTAAAATCTGTTTTATTTTTATGGAAAATTGTTGTGTCTGTGACTGCCAACAAAAAGGTTTATTTGCATATTTCAAAAGAATCCTGAAAGCAATTTATTTTTGAATGCATGTTTATATGCATATGCAGGAATGCTATTAAAATGTTAAACAACTGATCAACTCAGGTATTAGACTTTCAGAGAAGCCACTGACAGAAACTACGGAAACAGGCATATCTAGGGACGCTGAATGGCTATCAGACGTGTTGCACATACGTTAGCCTATGTGCATGTATGTGCATGTATTAGATGTGTTTCAGATTCAACTATAAATGAAATATAGAACTAATGGAATGCTGAGGTTGTAGTTTATTCTTTCAAAACACCAAATACTGTCTCTAATTTCTTTGCCATTCTGAAAGTTCCTTAAAGAAAGGGATTGAGGCCAGGTGCGGTGGCTGACGCTTGTAATCCCAGCACTTTGGGAGGCCAAGGCGGGTGGATTACGAGGTCAGGAGATTGAGACCATCCTGGCTAACATGATGAAACCCCGTCTCTATTAAAAATACAAAAAATTAGCCGGGCATGGTGGCGGGCGCCTGAAGTCCCAGCTACTCAGGAGGCTGAGGCAGGAGAATGGCGTGAACCCGGGAGGCGGAGCTTGCAGTGAGCCGAGATCGCGCCATTGCACTCCAGCCTGGGCAACAGAGCGAGACTCTGTCTCAGAAAAAAAAAAAAAAAAAAAAAGGGATTGAGTGCCCTATTGATCCAGACATATTCTCTAGACTGAATGCAGTAGCTCCAAAGGTGATGGCTTAGTAAGTATTGATTCTATGGGAAAAATAATAATTATTTTAAATAAAATCTTTATAAAATCATTCTTTCCATTTAGGTTAGTAGGCACTCCAGTCTTGGTACAATTTGGAGGCAGACAGACTATCTTCTGTATTTTAGAATTTCTTTTTTCAATGTGAGATACTTTCAGAAAAATTTAAGAACAAAATCTGCATGGTGTATATATTTTCAGAGATGTTTTTGTCATTGAGCCCATATGTATTTTAAAATATTGAAAGTACAGAAGTATCGATGTCTACTGCCAGCCTCAATGTTCTGCCAAGGTCTTCCTGTCCTCATTGGCTTTTGGGAGGCCAAACAGAAAGCATCCCCATGGTCATTCTAGCATCTCTGAACATGAACTTGAGTAATGGTTGTGAGACTCTAGGTTTCCATCTGATCTAAACAGGGCAAACATCAGTCATTTAGACAAAGGCATGCTATTCTGATTTACTGTTAATATCTAAATATTAACTACCAAATGCAACTGTAACCTCCAGAAAAAAATCTTCTATGTATTTTATATACAAAAACCGCTTTGAGCACTTGAAGTATACATATGTATTACTGCTACATGAAAACATGTGCTCATAATAATGTATGTAAAAACTATTAATTGTATATATGTGCAATTTTAAGAACTTTTATATAGTTAAGTAGGAAAATAGTTAAAGCAATTTAAATATTAAGCCTGCATGGTATATTCCTTTAATGAGACCATTTTAACTTGCCAAGTTACAATGTTTACAAAAATATTTAAATAAAAATAATAATGCAACATTGAAAAATAAATATCGAGTGAAATCATAATTCTAATCTCTTTAAAATATTTGGTATATTGGAATTTATAGCAGAAAACAAAATAACTTTTACTAAGTATATTGAATTCTACATACTTAATATGGATGTTTTTTAAAAAGCCTTCTTCAAAGGATGTTTCACATTTTATGAGGATGAATTAAAAACATATCAACTGTGACACATCAGATTTTCATCAATGAGGTAAAATTCCAAAATGATTTTTAGTATTCATGATAAGTCAGTCTCAAGTAATAAATAACAATGTTATAAGGAATACATACTCATAAAAATATAAAGAAAAGAAGATATGGCAGAGAAAGAGAAAAAGGAACATATTTTATTCTCTCAATCAATCTTCTTTTAAAGACATTAAAGTTATTCTAAGAAGAATTATTTTTATAATTTTAAGTTTATGAAATAAGTTTTAAATTACTGCTATGGATGCCAAATCATTTTTAGTAAAGTGCTTTTTATAATGGTTCAAGCAGTACATCCTCAGCACAAAGTTTCTTCTAAAAAATACTTCTGAAAATCTTTGCCTGAATTATATTCAGCTGTGCACCAAAAGGCTTATAATATCAATACATGTGCCAGTTGGAACTGAGCCTCTATTTGGGGTTGCAAATGTGAGAAGCGTGTCGGCGCGAGCAATTCTGCAGCTGACAGGGCTGGGGAATTATCCTTCTTGAACTAAAATATCCAACTTTGGAAATTTGGGTACAAAATTATTATGAAATTGCAATGGTAATTATTTTGGGATGATGCAATGTCAGACTCATACTTGTGTACCAGCGACTTATTCTCTCATGGTGATAGTCAACTTCAACCATGGCATTAGCTGCCTTTTCCCTTCCCATTGTGCCCTTCAGTGAGTCTTAGTCAATTTGCCGTAACAAAATACCATAGATTGTGTGGCTTATACAACAAGCAGTTACTTCTCACTGTTCTCAACACTAGAAAGTCCAAGTTCAAGGTGCAGGCAGATTTGGTTCCTTGTGAAGGGCTCTCTTTCTACTTTGCAGATGGCCACCTTCTAGCTGTGTCCTCACACGGAGGAGAGAGATCATTTATCTCTCTGTGTCTTCTTACAAGGGCGCTAAACCTGTTCATGACAGCCCCAGCCTTATGACCTAACTGGGTCTCAAAGGCCCTACCTCCTAATACCATCAAATTAGGGAATAAGGTTTCAACGTAGGAATTTGGGATGGACATAAACATTCAATCTATAGCATAGTGTTAGGACAAAAGACCTATCTTATTTGTCTTCTTAAAAGCAGGAAATTATCACCTGATTTCAGTGTTTTCCCATACAACATTCCACATTCTAGACACATTCTCTTGCCCAAATTTAAAGCAAGGGGATAAATAATGTCAAAGTAAAATTTCCATTTAAATTTATTTATTAATTTAAAAACTTTTCTTTCTGTGTCTTGGGAATAATTTATACCTTCCTATCACAGTATGCTTATAATGTGAAGAAATTATAGGGAAGTAACTAATATAACGTAAACAAGAATATTCTGTAGATATTAGCTCAGTTCCAAAACGAAGCTTCACTTACAAATGAGTTTGTCATATTCCCATTAAGTTTTACAATGTCTGGTAAAGGATATTTGTAGAGGGGAATTTGTTACAGTACAAATGCAACCAGGAAGTAGAAAGCCCCCCTTCAAAGCTAACATGCTAAACTTGTAGTTTTTATTTCACAATCAGCTTTGCCTTTGCGATGAGCCACTGACCATCACCAATTTGTCTTTAGTCAAATCAACCAGATGTTGAATGAATATTTTGCATTGTCTCACCCACTGCATGAGCTTGTATTCAAGTTACAACTTTGTTTGTGAAATATAATGTGCAGAGACATGGGCACAATGGGGACAGGGTAAGAGTTGCAAAGGAAACTCCAGTGTAACCTGCTCAAGATAGGTTGCAATAGCACCAGGACTCCTACCCTGCTTCTTTTCCCTGGTTACCAGAACACTTCATTACATTATGAAGACATCTCCCTGGCTTTACCTTAGCTTGCCTGCCTGTATAAGCATTCCTTATTTTTGCCTGTTTTTTACCTTTCTATAAGTGGAATTATATGGTATGTGCCCCTTCATATTTTGATTCTGTCATTCCATATTTTGTTTGTCACTTTCAACCAGGTCGCTGCCTGTTCCAGTATCATTGCTGTGTAGTATTTCATTATTTGAATCTTCTGTAATTTATGTATCTATTCCACAATGTTTGTACATCAAGGGTTGTTGAGCATTAGCCTTGCTGATGCAAATGCTCTTCTGCGTGTATCTGGCTGCACAAGGTCAAGAGTGTGTCTAGGGTCCAAACCAAGGATGGAATCGCTTGGACAAGAGCGATTGGGCAAGAGTGAATCTTATTAGTTCTAGATAGTAACCAGATGTTTTCTCCAGTGACTATGCCAGTTTGCGTTCCCCTCAGTGGTGTGTGAAAGTGTTCATTGTTCCACGTCTTTGCACACTTTTGGTATTGCCAGTTTTAAAAATTAATCTCACATCCAGGAATCCTGGTCATGGACAATTTTAACTGAGTTAACTTAAAAAGAAATTGGCACTTCTGGAAATTAGAAACAATGATAAGAATAACATTGCGCCACTGCACTCCAGCCTGGGGGACACAGCGAGACTCCATCTCAAAAAAAAAAAATGTTTATTGTGAGAAGTAAATAATTAAATAAAATTATGTAAAGTGCTTAGAGCAAGGCCTGGAATGTAGTAAGTGACAAAATTATGTAGAGTGTTTAGAGCAAGACCTAGCACGTAGTAAATGCCCAGTAAATATAAGTATCAATAAGTGGTTTCTGTAATAAATGAGTCATACTACAATAAATTTTCAAAATGAAAAAAAAGTAGACAATAAATTATGCAGGTATTTACATAGAGAGCAGCATGTTGGCGGGGCATGGTGGCTCATGCCTGAAGTGCCAGCACTCTGGGAGGCCGAAGTGAGTGGACTGCTTGAGCCCAAGAGTTCAAGATCAGCCTGGGCAACACAGTGCGGCCCCATCTATACAAAAAATACAAAAATTAAAAATTAGCCAGGCGTGGTGGTGCACACCTGTAGTCCCAGGTACTTGGAGGTACTTGGGAGGCTGAGGTGGGGAGGATTGCTTGAGCCTGGGAGGTTCAGGCAGCAGTGATCTGTGATTGCACGACTGCACTCCAGCCTGGGGGACAGAGTGAGATCTTGTCTCAAGAAAGAAAATAGAGGAGAAGAGAGGAGAGGAGAGGAGAAGAAAGGAGAAGGGAAAAGAAGAGAAAACAAAAGAAAAGAAAACAAAAAAGAAAAAAAGACCAGCGGTGTGGCAGTGGGGGAGAGCAGTGCAACAGCTGGGAGGGAAGCTTCTTAGGGTAGATGGGGCTTAGTTCCACTTTATAAACAGGTTTTCTATAGGGGAGATAGGACACTCCAAGCTGGAGTAAAAATATGAGCAACTGTATTTGGGGACATCTGTTCATTATTCAAGACAAGAATGCCACTTCTAAGATTTGCTTCGTGATCATCTAACACATTGGCTGAGCATATATTTGGCTGTCAATTTCATGATATCTGTTTTTGGTGGTGAGGGGGATTCTAAGCAATCACTGCCAGTGAAATTCTCTTCCAAGTGTAACAATCAGGAAGCCAGTTGTTGGGTGTACTGAAGCTAGGTTTGAGTCCTCCTTATTTGTCAAGAACTAATAAAGTACATGATAAACCCTGCAAATGAATTGCAACATCAGAGTCCATGCTGCAGATACAGCATTTCGACACTTTCAGGTGCCATCAATTATTTCCCCAGATTTTGGAATAAATTACATATTGGCCTCATGTTTTAAACCCACGAGGTTAAAGCAAGTATTCAGGTATAAATAAAACTGGTTACTTATTAAAATGTGCTTATTTTGTGTTAATGTTTCAATTGTGAAATGTAAATTCACAAGGACACTTTTTTGTCTGCAATGTTCTCTACTTTGGCCCTAGAATCATCCAGTTCCCTTAAGTGAGCACATACATGCACACACACACACACACACACACGCACACGGACATGCACACACGCACACACATGCATGCACAGACACACGCACACACGCACGCACACATGCACACACATGCACATGCACGCACACATGCACACGCATATGCACACACTCTCTAAGTTTTATACTTATCCACCTTTCTTTTTTTTTTTCCTTTTTTCTTTTTTTTTTTTTTAGACGGAGTCTCGCTGTGTCGCCCAGGCTGGAGTGCAGTGGCACGATCTCAGCTTACTGCAAGCTCCACCTCCCGGGTTCACGCTATTCTCCTGCCTCAGCCTCTGGAGTAGCTGGGACTACAGGCACCCGCCACCACGCCCGGTTAATTTTTTGTATTTTTAGTAGAGACGGGGTTTCACCATGTTAGCCAGGATGGCCTCGATCTCCTGACCTTGTGATCCGCCTGCCTCGGCCTCCCAAAGTGCTGGGATTACAGGCGTGAGCCACTGCGCCCAGCCGCTTATCCACCTTTCTACTGCCTACCATTCACCAACTTGGGACTCCACCTCAGATCTTCCTATTTTTAAGCTCTGGCTTCCTTTCACTGTCTTCAATACTATTCAAGTCCTGATTACTGTTGATTTCTATACACATAGAAATAATCTTAGCAAAACCTGGACCTCTAATTTTTCAAAACTTCTTTCCTCAAAGATATCCATCCTCCACCTCCTCCACCCCTTCGCCTCTAAGTTTATATCCTAGGCCTGTCATTAACGATAATTCCAGCCCCTCCACAGTCTTTGGTTTCCGCATCCCAATTCCTTGACTGCCGCTTCTTTAGCTCATTCTGCTCTAGTGTCTCCATGGCAACAGTCATCCTTTGTCTTTCAAAGACCTCACTCTCTTTATGTTACCACATTTGTGGTCCTCCTCTCCTTGTCACGCATGTCCTCATCTCCTTTCTCATCCTGCTTGAATTCCATACCAAGTCCTTGTAGTCACACCTCTGCATCCAGCCTAAGCCCTCCTGCCACTCTCCTTCAACATGTTTGCTGGATGAAAACCACCCTGCTTCAAGTCTGCTCCCTACTCACTTTGTATCTGCACCTAGGCATTTAATACAGCTGGAGAAAAATCTGCAACCTGGCCAAGTGATCTCATCTCAAATTCATGACCATAAACTGCAGGTATATGGAAGGTTGCCCAATGTTTATCATATGTTTCCTGAGTGCATTCAATTTCTCACTCTTCTACCCAACATTTGATAACTTTTTTCTTTCTATCCAAACACCAAGCACCTTATTTCCCAATCTAAACTAATTCCTTGTTTTCTATTTCAATAGAAAAAAATAACATTTTAAAAGACTAAAATAAAGACTCAAAGTAGAATATCCAGAAGTTCATACCACCATATACACCTAACTACTAGGATATTATCCATGTATCTGCCTCCCATTCTATTACTAAAGAATATTAAAGAATTCCTTCTAATGGATATATAGCGAAATCTCATTGTGGTTTTAATTTTCATCTCTATAATGACTATCAATGTTGTGTGTCTTTTTATGTGCCTATTTGCCATCTTAACAGTATCTTTCCAAGCACCTTAAGTTCTTAGTTCTGCTGAAGTCTAATTTATCATTTTTAAATATTTTTGTGGATTATGCTTTTGATTTAATATTTTATTCATTTATTTTTTGTTGAGAAAGAGTCTCACGATATTGCCCAGCCTGGTCTTGAATTCTGGGCCTTAAGCAATCCTCCTGCTTTGGCCTCCCAAAGTGCTGGGATTGCAGTTGTGAGATACCACACCCAGCCTGCTTTTGATCTAACATCTAACAAATTTTTGCCTACCCTAAGAAAACCTCGAGTTCCTTTTATGTTGTAGTCTAGAAATTTTACAGTTCTAGGTTTATGTAGGCCTACGACATGTTTTGAATTAATCTATGATTTTTTAAAATTTCTTTTTTCCTCCATATGGATATTCAATTGCTACAACATCATTTGTTGAAGACACTGTCATTTTCCCGCTATATTGCTTTTGTACTTTTGTCAAAATTAAATTCACCATATTTATGTAGATCTGTTTTTGGACTCTGCTCTGATTCATTGATCTATTAGCCTATCCTCTGAAAAATCTGTTTTTTTCTTGTACTGTCTTGAGTACAATAGCTGTATAATAATTTTTGAGTTCACTTTTCTTCTTTGTCTTATTCAAAATTGTTCTGACTATTCCAAGCCCTTTGCATTTTTACATGAATTTGAAAATCAGCTTGTCAATCTCTACCAAAACATTAAAAAAATCCCTGCAGAAATTTTGATTGAGATTTCATTGAACCTATAGGTGAATTTTGGGAGAATTGATATCGTAACAATATTAAGTCTTTCAATCTATGAACGCAGTGTGTCTATCCATTTATTTAGGTCTTCTTTAATATTTCAGCAGTGCTTGCGAGCTTCAGGATACAGCGTTCATATATCTATTATTAGATTTATATCTAAGTGATCCATAGTTTTGATTCTACTGTCATGAAATTGTTTTTAGAATTTCCATTTCTGAAAGTTTACTCCTAGTATTTGGAATTTGGAAATACAATAGATTTTTTCAATATTTTTATTGTGGTAAAATACACATAACATAAAATTTACCGTCTTATTCATTTTTGTGTATAGTTCTGTGGAATCAAGTACATTCATATTGTTGTGCAACTATCACCGCCATTTATCTCCAGGACTTTTTTCATTTTCCAAAGCTGAAACGCTGCACTCATTAAACCATAACTTTGCATTCTCTTTCTTTTCAGCCCCTGACAACCACTATTCTACTTTGTTTCTATGATTTTAACTACACTAAGTACCTCTTATAAGTGGATAATACATTTATCTTTTTATGTCTAGCTTATTTCACTTAGCATAATGTCCTTAAGATTCATCCATGTTATAGCATGTGTCGATATATCCTTCCTATTTAATGCTGAATTACAGCCTATTGTGTGTGTGTCACATTTTGCTTAATTATTCATCTATCCTTGGGTTTCTTCCAAGTTTTAGCTACTGTGAATAATGATGCTCTGAGCATGGGTGTACAAATATATCTTTGAGATCCAACTTTCTATTCTTTTGGGTCTATACCCAAAAGTATAATTTCTGAATCATATGGTAAATCTATTTTTAATATTTTAAGAAAGCATCTGATATGGTTTGGATTTTTGTCTTCACTCAAATCTCATGTCGAATTGTAATCCCCAGTGTTGGAGGAGGAGGGGCCTAGTGGGAGGCGATTGGATCATGGGGGCAGATTTTCCAGTTGCTGTTCTCATGATAATGAGAAAGTTCTCATGAGCTTTGGTTGTTTAAAAGTGTGTAGCACCTCCCCCTTCACCCTGTTCCTCCTGCTCCAGCCATGTAGGATGTGCCTGTGTTCTCTTTGCCTTCCACCATGATTGTAAGTTTCCTGAGGCCTCCCAACCCATGCTTCTTGTACAGCCTGTGGAACCATGAGCCGATTAAATCTCTTTTCTTTATAAATTACGCAGCCTCAGGTAGTTGTTTATAGCAATGCAAGAATGGGCTAATACACCACCATACTGTTACCCATAGTGGCTGGACCATGATCATTCCCACCAATATTACACAAGGGTTCCAATTTCTCCAGACCCAGATCCAGATCCATACCAATACTTTTTATTTTTTGTTTATTTATATATTTTTTATATAATAGTCATCCTCTTGGATGTGAACTGGTATCCCATGGTGGTTTTGATTTGCATTTCTCTAGTGATTAGTGATGTTGAATAGCTTTTCATGTGCTTATTGACCATGTCTTCTTTGGTGAAATAGCTATTCAAACTTTTTGCCCATTTTTGAAGTTTCTTCCTATTGCTAGTTTGCTGAGAATTTTTATCAATACTGGTTTCGAATCTAGTGAGATGATCCTATGTTTTTTCTTTATTAGTCTGTTCATATAGTGACATATAGATTGATTATTCAAATGTTCAGCCAATTTGAATTCTTAGGATAAATGCCACTTGAATATCATGCATTATCCCTTTTGTATTATATTTACATTTAATTTACTAGATTTGGTTAAGAATTTTTGTATTTGTAATTGATGAAAGACATTGATCAATAGTTTTATTTCCTTAGAGTGTTTTTTGTTTGGCTTCAGACTCTTGGTTTCAATCTCCAGATAATCAGTGTGATGCTTTTTTATATTTTGCATGTCTCTAGTTAGCATCCTCACTCTTTTCTCCAGCTTCTTGAGCATATGGAATACAATTATGGTCATATAGTGTTTTAATAGCCTATCATCAGTGTCATTTTTACATCTCTATCTACTGATAGATTTTTCTCCTCCATATGGGCCAGATTGTCCTCCTTCTTTGCATGGCCAGTATTTTTCACTGGATATCAGGCATTGTGAACTTTACTTTATTGGGTGCTATATATTTATTCTTATAGTATCCTTGACTGTTGTTCTAGAATGCACATCAGTTACATGGAAACAGTTGGATCCTTTTGTGGTCTTATTCCAGGCTCTATGATATGGGATGAGGCAACTGTTAGTCTAGTAAAATTTCACTCTGCTGCTGAGGCCATACGTTTCTGAAAGCTTTTTCTGAAGTCCATGGAGTAGGAAGCTTTCTGCTCTGGCTGGTGGGAACACAATCTATTCCTGAGACTGTGTCAGCCCCAGAGCTTGCTTTTTTTTTTTTTTTTTGCTCCCTTTAGTTGGGTCTCTGCCTTCTTTTGCATAGTTTTCTCACATTTACAAGCTCATCAACACTCATGTAAAGACACAAGGGAGCCTCTGCTGATCTTGCAGCCTCTTGTGAACTGCTCTCTCCTCTTCCTGACTCTGCCCTACAGACTTCAGGCCTCCTGCAACCTCAGCCCTATATCCCCAATGCAGGGACATGGCTGAGCTCCGCTTGGATTCCCCTGCACTGCTCTGTGGCCAAGAGACGAACCCCGTGAAGAAACCAGGCCAACCTCAGTGCTCACCGGATCTGCTTCTCTCTTTCAGGGAACATTTTCATTTATTTTACTAATGTCCAGCATTCATGTATGCTGTTAGGTTTTTAAGTTGTTTCTGGAAACTGAGGCAAGTCTGGTCCTTGTTACTCCATCTTTGCCAAAAGTGGAATCGTTCAGCTGATTTAATATTAAATTTATTCTAGGACTCAATTTTTTACCTCTAACTAAAGCCTATCATACTGATGATATTGCCTGCATCTATGAGTTTTTAAACCCTTAATTTTGTTCTTCCCAGCTTAGGCACAGGTGGCTGAGAAACAGACCGTATTTGCATATAGGATGTTCTTCCGGCAACTTTGTTGCTGACTTGTTTCCTCCAGAATTGTCCTTAGAGCAGCCTCACCTGCACAACATTGTCATTGAATAGTTTTCTTTTTTTCCTGAGGTCAATAGAGCCAATTTCAGCATTATCATTAGCAAAGTTTGTCCCATTCATCATGGTCTGTGTTTTAGAAAGGGGTATCAGCTCTCCAGCACACATAGTCTTTCAATCGTTTCATGTTAACACGATTGGTGCAGTTTTAATTATTTTCTTGTTTGTCTTTTTAAACTAGGAGTTTAAAATGACCTATTAAAATGAGGTGTAATTATACTACCAAACCCTTATTTTTTACTTGCTTTGACTTACTTATTGATTATCAATTTGGGTGAGAATGAAGAATTCTATATTTGAAAGTGTTGCAGACTCATGAGAAAATGTATTTTTTTATTCTGTCAGTACTTACACGATATCCTTTGGGAATTACTTAGTAATCATATAAGCTTTCGGACTTATATTGAAAATGGATGACTTAGAAAAAGATAACTTGAAAACCGTCTCATTGTTGTATTCTTTCCTCCTGCTTGTGAAGGTGAACTTATTTTGGAATGAATTAGTAGTGTGCTGTCATTAAATGTGAGTATCTGCCCTGTTAATCATCCTTCCCAAGTCTAGCAGCATTCTGGCAAAACCGTTGTTGAGGATGAAAAATCATAAGTCATCCACTTTGAAGGCTTCACAGCTTTAATAAATGTGATGTGTCAGCTACTTCATTTCTGAGGGATTTTTTTCCTATAATTTTCTCAGAAGGAGTCAAGTTATAAAAGAGCCTACTTTCATGCAAATAAATTGCACGTTCTGGCTCAGGTTGCCCTGATAAATTTTACACTTAATAAATAATAAATGAAGATACAAGAATGAAGAAGTGTTAAAGAGACAGCACTTTACTCCTAGAAAGAGATTTTTGCTGAGAGAGCTGGCCTCAGTTTCTGGCGGGTAGCTAGGAATCTGACATACAACAATAACAACGACTGTGATTTGTTTTAGAAAATGATTTATGTAATAAATATCCCCAGTCCCGTTTTCTTTCTTTAGTAATAGCTATATTTAGTTCATTTTAAATGGAATGATTTAACACTGAATGTAAAACACATGGTTGGATGCCTTAGGAGACAGAATACAGAATTCTTATAAATTTTTTTCATTAGTATACTAGCCTTTAGTTCAAGGGAAACAGCTATTTAAACAGCTCATAGTGTTTAATTAAGAGTTGTGGCCGGGCGCGTTGGCTCACGCCTATAATTCCAGCACTTTGGGAGGCCGAGGCGGGCGGATCACGAGGTCAGGAGGTCGAGACCATCTTGGGTAACATGGTGAAACCCCATCTCTACTAAAAATACAAAAAATTAGCAGGGCGTGGTGGCGGGCGCCTGTAGTCCCAGCTACTCGGGAGGCTGAGGCAGGAGAATGGCATGAACCCGGGAGGCGGAGCTTGCAGTGAGCCGAGAGAGCTCCACTGCACTCCAGCCTGACCGACAGAGCGAGACTCCGTCAAAAAAAAAAAAAAAAGTTTGTAAATGTGAACATTTTGAAGAGAAAAGTGCATCATAGTCTAGACATTCTTTAGAATACTTACGTGTGTTTTCTACCTGTTACATAAAAAAAAAACCTATTAAAATGGTACAGTTTTATTTTAATATCCAGTAGATTCTCACAAATATATTTGGATATTTTACTGAATGGATACAAATCCCTTACCAGTGATATTTTCCTGTAGAAGGATAATCGTTTGAATTAAATAGAAGCTCACTCTTCAATCATTCTGTACTCTGAAGCTTTCGGATGCTACTTCTAAAGGTTGCCAATTAAAGCTTTCAGATTGTTTAAAATATCTCCTTTTTCTAAGGATTTTCCTGACTTGGTAAGGAGAGGAGGATAAAATTCAATATTTTCAAGTCCCCTCTGATGGGATGTTAGAAAGTGACAGATGGCAGGTCACTTCAATAATGTTCAACATGGCTTGGTTACAAAATGTCAGGAATTGAGCTGTGTAGTTTTGTATTTTTTATGATTTCTTGTTTAAGACTTCCCTGAGCTGTGTCTTTTCTTTTTCCTTTGCTTTTATGATTCCTTTTGAGTACTCCAAAGTAGAGTAAGAAGTTAAACTCCCTTGTCACAGTGAGAGGGGATGTATTAGTCTCCAATGACTGCCATAGCAAATTACCACCAACTGGGTGGCTGAGAACAGCAGCGGTGTATTCCCTCACAGTTCTGGAAGCCAGAAGCCTGGAATCAGCGTGTCAGCAGTGTCACGCACTTTCTGGTGCTGTGTTGAATCTGTCCTTGCCTCCTCCTTGCTACTGGCCATCAGTCCTTGGTTTGCAGCTACATTACTGTAATCTCTGCCTCCGTCATCACATGCTATCTCCCTGTGTCTCTGACTCGGCATTTCCCTTATTTACTAGGACATGAGCCATCCTGGATTAGGGTCCACCCCGATGACCTCATCTTAACTTGATCACATGCTGTGAAGATCCTATTTCCATAACCAGTGGGTACCAGGCTTAATACCTGGGTGACAAAATAATCTGTACAACAAACCTCTATGACACAAGTTTACCTGTATAACAAACCTGCACATGTACCCCTGAACCTAAAATAAAAGAAATAGATATTTAGCTAAGGGTGGTGGTGCCAACCTTTGATTTCAGCTACTCGGGAGGCTGAGGTGGGAGGATCCTTTGGGCCCCAGCATTCGAAGCTGCGATGAGCTATGATTGCACCACTGCACTCCAGCCTGGGCAACAGAGTGAGACTTTGTCTCAAAAAATAAATAAATAAGTGAATTACAAGTCCAAGGTTGGACAGATGGTTGCTGGGCAGAAAAGAAAAAAAAAAGATCACATTCACGTTTACAAAGGCTAGGACTTCTACATGTCTTTTGAGAGGACACAACTCAAACCATAACAGGGTCCCATTCTATCAAATGACTGTTTAAGAAAGTGACACATTATTCTCATTCATTTAAAAAGCATAATTTTGTATCAGGAGTATTATCCATCACTAATGAATGTGACCATCCAGATCCATTTAATGAAAAATAAATATTGAAAAAGTAGATATTAGGCTTATTTGTATTATCCCCAGGCTTTGTTTTATCTTTCATTGACAACATAGGCATCACATATTTCATTGATATGGCTTTTTATATCTATGAAATAGTCTCATATTGGTTGACATTCAACTTAATTCTACTTTGTTCTTGAAAGCACAGTATTGAATATTCTAATGGCACTGTTCTGGACTTATTTTTTCTGATACATTTTCATAAGCACATTAGGCTTCTCTTGTCTAAAGATCATTAGCTCTTCCTTACACTTTTCTTTACATAAACCTCTCAGTTCTTTTCTAATGAATGGCACTGGTATCCACTCAATTTTACAAGTCAAGTGTCTGAGCCTCATCCTTGACAAGTCCCTGGCTCTCTCCTGTGTCCATTTGCTCACCAAATCCTGCCAATTTTACTTCATAATTTCCAAATCTGTTCAAATCACTTAAGCCATCTCTCATGTGCACAACCTCAATTGCTCTCCCACACTCCTACATCCACTCTCACTTCCCACTAACTTAATCTCCACTTATAACCACAGCAAGTTTTCTTTTTTAATTAAGCCATGTCTCTCTTTAGCTGAGAAAACTGAATGAGAATTTAACTGTCTCTAGATAAAGATGAAAATCTCATGGCCGATTTCTAGGCTTGCCTTACTAGACTTACTGCCTTGTCTACCCGCTATGTATCTGGTCTTGTTGTAGTCAGATCAGGCTGTTATAGCAAATATACCACAGATTGGCAGCTTAAACAACAACATTTATTTCTCACACTTCTGGAGGCTGGGAAAGCGAAGATCAAGGTACCTGCAGATCCAGTATCTGGGGTTGGCTCCTTTCTTCTTCGTGCCCTCACATGGCAGAGAGCAGAGAGAGGAAGCAGGCACCCTCCTGCCTTCTTAGAAGGGCTCTGATCCATTCATGAGGGCTCCTTTTTCATGACCTCCTTTCCTCTGCAAAGCCCCATCTCCTAGTACTATCACGCTGGGGATTCGGTTTCAGCATATGAACTTGGGGAGACACAAACCATCATCTGTAGCCAACCTCCAAGAATACTTTGGTTCTTTTCTTGGAAAGCACAGTGCACTTCTAGCCTTTGTAGTCTTGTATGAGCTACTTATTCAATCAGGAACACACCCCTCCCCATTATCTCTCATTTTTCCTTCTTCTTAGTAAATATCTATTCCTATTTCATATCTCAGACCAATTATCGCTTTATTGACACATTGTCAATGGCTTCCCTGTCGTCATCCTCTCTTTTACATGCTCATAAAGGACACTTTATCTTCCTAGAAAACTTACAGCAATTATAAGTAAGTAAATGTGGAATTTACTGTTTGATACTTGTCTTCACCGATAGAATGTAAGTTCCAGGAGGACCACGATCTGGTTTGCTTCCTCATCATACTGTCCCCAGATTCTAGTATTTACCAGCATCTGTTGAGTGAATTAAGTACTTGAGACTGAAACTTAAATAATTACAATTTCTATTCTCCTGTAATTCTCATAAAATTTTGCTCCTCGGTGTAGGCTTTCATGTGAGTCGTAGACAGTGTAAGAAATGTTTATTTATTTAAAGAAATGTATTATCACAAAGATCCAAATATTGAGGGAGACAGTACTTGTTTTGTAATCAAGGCAGGGTAGGAGAAGGTCTTCATGCTGACATCCAGGATGGAGTAGAATAATTCTCAATGGCTGTGTATCCCCTGAACAAAGCCTCTCTATTGAGAGGACACCTGAGTCTGAGAATATTTTTATTGTAGGTAAAAGAGTGCAGCAAAATGCAAGTAATTTATTTTCTGAAAATAGAAGTATAAATAATGTATTGAATATATGAAACAAAATTTGACATAACATACTTCTCCAATCCAATGGGAATTCAGGGCACTATTAACAATAAAATGGATGTATGGTATAAAAAAACAGCTTCAAAGGAATGAATGCCCCATGCGTAGCCACAGTGTGTCCCTTGCAGTGCCACTGTCCCACCTCATGCTGATTACTTTCTTGGACACTTGGAGCTGTGGCCGAAGCTTTTGGACAAGACCATTTTATCCAATCCACTTCCCTCTTTTAGAGAAGAGGGAGGTGTCCGATAGGAAAAGAGATAGAGACCAACTCCTATAACTAGTGTCACAACTTGTAATTTAACCAATGGGAAGAGATCTCTCATTCTTGGCCTTCTTCCTGAAAAGCTCAGTGCACTTCACTTATTTGTAATATTTAATGTTAACTTTTTACATTCTGGTGAATCAAATGGAAAGCCTCTGCAAAGAAAATCATGGGGTCCATTTTCAGTATCTTTTTGTCATTTCAGGGGTCTCCTATCACTGGGTGCCCAGTGAGTTACTTAGTCTTAATTTGTTAGCTTTTTCTCAACTGAAAATTGGATGAAATTATTTATTTACTACAGAAGATTATAGTTAGGAATGCTTATTCCATGCATATAGTGATCATTAAAGTTAGCTACTATTTCCCCCTACCAAAGACATGGATCATTTGAACTACACTGGCAAAGTCCAGCTGTACTAACCCACGGGAGAATCCTACTGTGTCTCCTGCCCTGGTCTTAAAAGGACTCTTCTCTTTTACACAATTGACTTTCTCATCAATAAACTTTTTTATATTTAGAAAGGAAGTTCTTCAGTTCTGACAGTGTACACAGCCAAGTCTATATGGTTACAATTTTTGAGGCAGATTAAGATGGTTCCAGAAATAAGGACTGATTATACTTCCTATAGAGAGCCAGCATAATCTGCCCATTGAAAGATTTACATAGAAAACAAAGTGGATTCATTCAGCTCTTTTTGGAGTTGTAAAGTTCCTGCTTTACCCTGAAGGTGTCAGAAAAAAAAAATAGGATGTTAGGGTATTGCACGAAGTGTTTGATAATAACAAACATCTTTGAAAATATGAATCTTTTCCTTTGCTTAGCTTTGAGAATGAGAACATATGTCTTTGTAGATTCCTGACTTTCTGCATAAACATTTTCTCTTTTGGAAAAAAAATATGAATTTCCTCTGATAATGCTCTGAGAACATTCTTAAAAGCCCTAGAGAGAAGGAAAAAAAATTAGTCTAAGAGCCTCATCCCCACAAGATTTTTCTGTTGATTTTTTAACAAGTATGACCTTCAGCAAATCTGGTAGCACGGTAACATGTACTAGGGCAGTGCCTTATTCCATGAAATAGAACTAAAAACAGCTGCTGCACAGTAAGTTCCAGAAAGGCGGGGCCTCTGTGCTTACCTGTGCTCATAACCCAGCCTGAGAACAGTCCGGACCATGCCTGGCAAATCACTTTTCTGTGTTTTCCCAACTTGGGCCAACATTCTCCTTGCAGGTACAAACAGGTAAGAAAGGAATTGGTGAGGCAGGAATATGATAAATCACAGAATAAAAAGGTGCTTTATTCGAGAACATTAACTTTACTCAAACACTTGGGAAAATAATTATTTTATTGTAAAGAGGAACCACATTATTAAGGATTAGAATGCAAAATGAACAACATTAGCATTGAATGAATTTGCAGTGGAAGGATTTCAGGATACTGATATGAGCCCCCAGCTGCTCAAGTTTTCATTTTTTATGGAGATCTGTCTGTTAAAATCAAACACCATAAACAGATCCCACGCCACAAACACTGACCTTGTGCGCAGTCTTTCATGCTTTGGATTTGAGTTCTTGAGAAATTAGCATAATAGATAGTCTAAATGGTCACAACACAAACCTTATTGGACTGGAAATTTGGGGTATTAAAGAGACCCTATAGGTAAGTGTTATGTTCAGGCCACTGGCTATTTATCCCTAAATAAATTAGAACATCAGTATATTGAATTGTAATATAGTAACTTTTTAAAAGTTAGCTGTGAAAGCAATGCTTTAACTGTTGAATTCAACATTCATTATGGTAGGATTGAAAACTATTCCTATTGGCTTCCTATTGCCTCATAACAAAATACCACAAACACGGCAGCTAAACAAGATAACGATTTATTAATTCTCAGTTGTATAGATTAGAAATCTGGGTAGAGTCTGCTGACTTATCTACATAGGATTTTACAAAGCTGAGCTCAATGTGTTGGCCAGACTGGGCTCTTTCCTTACAGCCCAGGAGAAGATCCATTTCCAAATGCATTCTGTTGTTGGCAGAATTCAGGTCCTTGTGATTGTTGGACTGAGCTCTTGTATTCTTTTTTTTTTTTTTTTTTTGCTGGTTGCCAGAAGGAGGCTGTGCTCAGCTCCTGGTGCCCCCCCTCCCACTCCACGTTCCTTGGCACATGGCCCCCTTCATCAAGGGAGTCCCCTTATGCTGTCAATTGCTTCCTGTATGCCTGCTGCCAGCCAGGGAAACCTCTCTACTTCTTCTGTAATTAGGCCATCCCCACCTACTGGCTCTCCTTATCTCAAGGTACTTGATGTAGGACTTTCTAGGATCTTTAAACCAACCCCCAAGCCTAGCAGGATGCAGACTGGTGTTTGATTGAATAACCAGTAGAGAGAATCTTTATCTGGGGTTGGGGCATCTTTAGAATACTGCATTTGGCTGGGTGCAGTGGTTCATGCCTGTAATCCCAGTACTTTAGGAGATTGAGACAGGAGGATCACTTGAGCCCAGGAGTTCCACAACAGCTTGAGCAAAAAGCAAGACCCTACATCTACAAAAAATAAAAAATCAGCCTGGCATGGTAGTGGATGCCTGTAGTACTAGCTACTTGGGAGGCTGAGGCAGGAGGATCACTGAGCCCAGGAGTTTGAGGCTACAGTAAGTTAGGATCTTGCTGCTGCACTGCAGCCTGGGAGATGGAGTGAGACTCTGTCTCTGAAGAGAGAGAAAATCAAGAATTCTCCCTGGCACACAGCACACCAGTTCACATCTACAAGCAGACATTTTGTTAGAGGGACATAAGGAAGACCTAAGATTGGGTGAAAAGAGACAACAACCAGGCTCTGGAAGTTACAGTGATTGTCAAGGGAAAAATGATGAGGTTCATAAATTTGGAGAGGAGAGCTTTATTTCCCATGAAGGCTTTCATCTTACAGGGCAGCCTATAAGGCTGAGAAGAGTAGCCTTGGGTCAGAAGCCAGAAACAGGCACATTCAGGGTAGGAAGAATAAGACAAGAATTTATGTTGAACAGGGTGGCCCAATATCCATCTTCAGTAAGCCAAAGGAGGAGCATGAATATTTATGAAAGGACAAACGTGCATGAACAATTGAGCTTCATGCCTCTTCATGGGTCATATGTTCAAAACATGGCAGCATTAACATGAGCTGAGGGTGGATTTTTCAGCCCTCTGACTTCTAAAGGATGAAGCAGAGGACACAAGAACTCCCTGTCATCAGTGCTGTCTTATCAGGAAGGTGTGCTGGTCAGCTGTGTGGAAGCCACAAAAGGCACTCCTGAGTTGTTGAAATCAGTGGTGGAGTCTTTGCAAAGGGCTGGTTTCTGGTCAACTCTTTGCAACGGGCTGATTGAAAAAAGCCTAATGACGATCAACGAGGCAGGGGGTATAACAAGGCATTTCCAACCTCCTATCCCATCAGAGCTGGAATCCCCATTTTTAAGGTTTCCTGGAGTCCCCTTGGCCAAGAGGGGGTCTGTTCAGTTAGCTGGGGGCTTCGGATTGTATTTTTATTTCTCAGGATCCAGGAAGGAGCATGTCAGTCATCATTGCTGCATCACTGATGGGGACTCTAATAATTCTTACTCTTCTTGTCATGCTGGTCATGGACAGAATAACAGGTGTTATTAACAGTGCCTCGTGCACTAACTAGGGTCACACAGATCATCTTCTTTACAAACTATTGACAATGGTTTCTACTGTAAATGTATTGAGTGAAATGGAAGAGGACAAAGTAGTCACTTCTCACTGTGTCTAGCACAGGGCATGTCCTCATAACTGTCTAATCTCTTTTTATTATCAATGGTACTGACCTAGAACGGTAAATAAAAGTAAGTGCAATTATTAAGTTTATGATAAAATTATGTGAAAATATCTATGCCACACTCTTGAAATTTCAACATCGTTTAATCTGCAATGTCCATGGTTATACATGGTAGAAATGTCCTTTAAGAAGGGCACACATGATTTCTGTAATCACAGAAATCTGAGTGTAGTTGTCACGTCAGGTACGTTATCAAATCTCCCTATATATAAAATACTTTTCTCATCTGTGGCCTCCTAAGGTTCGTATGAAAATCAAAATGTTTTAAGATAATGGTTTTAAACTCTTTACCCCAGTGCTTGATGCCTACCAAATAATAAAAATTAGATATTTCAAATATTATAATCATGAGTGCACTATATATGTGATCTTAACAGCAATATTGATGGCTCCCTAAAAAGGAAAAGCATTAGGACAATCGGTAGCTCTATCGCAAGACTATTTTTAATTATAGCACTCTAAAAATAGCTGCTGCAATTACTCTGAACCTGACGGTGCTCTGAAGACTTGCAGTGCAGGGTTATGCTAATCAGGAGAGCTCTCAGTCCAATGAGATATCACTTTAGGCTAACAACAAGCATGAATTAAGAGCCCACAGTATGTAGCCTCACATCTTGAAATTATTGTTGCTGCTATTTGTGGTAGTTTAGAACAGGGGTGGGATGCATGTCTCAGTTGCTGGTGAATAAAATTGAAGTGCCTGCTGAAAAAGAAACAGGGTTTCCAGATCATTGGCCTGGTAGGAAAATCTGTCCTCTGTGACCAGAAACTGTTCACTTCCGTTTCCTCGGCTTCCCTCCTGAAAAAGACTATCCGAGCTGTGTTCAAATGTGTAGAGTGGCCCCAAAAGTCCAATACCCTAAAGGTACTAGTTATTATATCACTAAAAATGATATTATGGTAGTAATTTTTTTCTTTTCTTTCTTTTTTTTTCTTTTTTTTTCAGATGGAGTTTCACTTTTGTTGCCCAGGCTGGAGTGCAATGGTGCGATCTCAGCTCAGTGCAACCTCTGCCTCCTGGGTTCAAGCGATTCTCCTGCCTCAGCCTCCCTAGTCGCTGGGATTACGGGCACCTGCCACCATGCCCAGCTAATTTTTGTTATTTTTAGTAGAGACAGGGTTTCGACATGTTGGCCGGGCTGGTCTCAAACTCCTGACCACAGGTGATCCACCCGCCTCGGCCTCCCAAAGTGCTGGGATTACAGGAATGAGCCACTGTGTCCGGCCAGTATTTCTTTTTTTAAATGGTCTACAATAATCATTTTTCTGCCTAAAATACTTTAATTTTTTTAAGAGTTGCTTAGGCCTTAAGAGAAATATTTTCTGTAATCCCCTCCAGTCAAATGTCTCTAATTTCTCATCTCCACTGCCACTGGAATAAGCATGATGACAGAGAGGTTGGATCGTATTACCACCTCTTCGTAACTGCTCCACACCAAATGCCATGTAAAATCTGCCTGTACTTCTCAATGTAAGTTTTCCCTTGATTCACACTACCTAGGTGTACTCGCCCATAAAAACCTACATCCTACAGTGCTACTCACTATATTATAGGAGCACACCTCTGTGCCTTTGTTAGTATCATTCTTGAACTCTCAGTTCAAACACCTTGTCTTTCATGAGTCTTTTCATCCAACTTTTTAAACTTGAACTTCATTCTTCATCACCATTAAGATCACACAATATTTTGCATTCCATGAATGAATCCAGAAGGACTTGTATAGTGTGGCATTGCAAGAGACCCTTCCTAGTTGTAAATTCACTCAGTGCCCAAAACAAGTTATGGCATCAGTAGCTACTTCAACTTGACGGGCCAGGATGGAACTGCAGAAGGCGTAAGGGAGCAAGCAGATAGACAATAGAGGGCATCTGATGGAATACTTTCGACTCCAAGTGTTTTTCAAATATCACTGAAAGAAGACTGAAATGGACTAGATGCTTTTGATTTCACGCTTGTGTATGGTTTTGCCATGTATAAATACATGTTTTACTCAATGTTCCAGAGCAGCTCTGTGAGACCACTGGAAGACATACCTGCAGAAGTGGTTTCTATTCATTCATTCTTTTATTCACTTAAACAAATTGTGATTTTTGACCACACTTGCCACAGTGTGTTTTATAAGTTGTCACCAAAATTCAAAAGCAATAGTCAGTAAACCTGCTGGCTTCTTAGTACAAACCAAGGCAGTGGCCCTACCCAGCAGCCAGCAGCCACTGGATTCCCCTGTGCTCTGCACTCAGAGAAAGGGGGAAATGCCTGCTAAGGATGGCCCTGATGAAGCAGTAAAAATGATTTTATTAAATCTTGACCCTTGAGTACATTTCTTTTAATTATTTTGAGTGACAAAATAGGAAGTGCAGTCAAGTATTTCAGCTTTACTAAGACACAATATCCTGAGGAAAATCACCTATTGGGCAGAGTTCCAAAGTCAACCAGTTCTCTTTCCATGGGACCTTGTTTTTACTTGAAAAACGACTAACAGTCAAAAGTGCAGATATCCAGACTTGGGTTTTTGGTAGACATTTTTTTTGAAAGTGAGCCTTTCACTACAAAACAAAACACAACAAAACTGGCAGTGACGTAATCGGAGCTTTCAAGTGAAAATTAAATTTTAGAAAACTTGTATCTGCTATCATGAACTTGAGAGATTTCTGATACTTAAAGGCTTTTTTCGACAAGGTCAGTGTTTATATTAACAAATATAATCTTTTTGAAATTATAAAATTAAGCATTTCAATATTTAAAAGATCTTTATAAGTCAAAGAACATATTTTGTAGATTACAAAAGCATGATGTCATACAACCAAGATTATAAAAAAATTCATTGATTCATTAATATGATTTCAGTTTTGCATCACAACTAATCTTAAAGAAATGACCAGTTGTTGAGTTTTGGTATAGTATCAGAGAAGAATATCCACAACTGTATGCATTAGCTATTAAAATACTTCTTGTATTTCCAACTACATGTCTTGGGGGTCAGGATTTTCTTCAGATACTTCAACAGAAACAAAGCATTGAACAGGTTGAATGCTGATGCATTCATGAAACTCCAGCAGTCTTTCATTAATCAAGAGTTTTGCAAGCATACAAGTGTTATGCTTAATAATGCATGCATGTGTTGGAAAATAACTACTTTTATTGAAAATATCATTTACATTAACCTGTAATATTTTTATAATGGTTATTTTAAAATATCAAATATTTTTGAATCCTCAGTTTTAATTTCTAACAGATTACACAAAGATAAGTGTAACTCATATTAACAAAACATTTTGGGGGGTCCTCCATAAGTTTAAAGCATGTAAAGGAATTTCAAGTTCACATATTTTGAGAACTGTTGGCATATGCCAAGGAGACGATAGCCATATGGTATATATGAGAAGTGCTTTGAAATCTTTGATGTCCAAGAAGTTCTTCCAAACCAGATGGTTGTCATAAAGACTGAAATTTCATTCTGAAAAATGCTTTTCATCTGGTTCAGAATTGTTCTCTCCGGGTGACTCTTGCTAAACCATTCTGAATTAAATTATTTGTCTTGAATTGGGTGCTATGGTGGAAGGAGCTGAAACATTAGAGGAAAGATAGAGTCTGTTCCGAAAGCTTTTTCCTAGTGCCTACTTGATGGTAATTTAAAGGAAGTTTTCAAAAGGCATCTGTCTTAGCTGGCTCCTTTGTAAAGTAGGGAGATGGAATATCACAGGTGTATTTTGTTGCTAAATGTGATGATATACATGAAAACGTCTGCTACCAAAGGGGCCGCCAATGCGTACGTGTGTATTCTCTCCTGTTTCATCACAAGGTCAATTAGACCCCTGGACCATTTTACTGAGAAGTAGGACCTGGTTGCAGGGTGATGGCCCCAGATAGAAGATGAGAAAGGGAATTGACAAAAAAGCCATGGGATGGGTAGGATGACTGTTCCTCATCATCACAGTTTCCAACTCCTAGGATGAGGGGACAGTTTCCTTTCATGCGTTGTATGTCAGCTCACCTTCCTTTCTCTTTATCCTCCCTCCAGTCTTCCACGGCTCCTTACATCATCACATGAAACCTTTCCTTTGCTATGCGTTCCCAATGTTTCCTCACATGAAATATTTCCCTTATGATGAGTTCTGAATGTTTCCACAGTATAGATTTCAGATGCTCTTGAAGGAATCTCCTTTTTAATAATTTAATCTGTCAGAGTACATAGAATCTGAGCGATTCACAGTTGTCTCTTTCAGTACAGTTCAGCCCAAATCTCGTTGTTTGTTGAAACCTTGAAGCAATGATTGGCTTTAGTCATAGCATACAAAACCATGAGACTGAACCAATATTAAGTCTTTGTTTATGTAGATTATTAAAAGGGAAATCAAACGTATGTGATCTCAACCTGCATTTAGCCCTTTTTAATACTTGTGTTACTCGTTCCTGAACAAGGATAGTATATGAGCTTCACCCTACTTATGCGGTAAAATTAAGATTTTTCCAAGCGTAAAAGGTCATAAAATGAGCTAACTGCAGAAGTGCCTTATTAATGAAAAGATGTCAAATTAGTAGATATAAAATGAATAGCCATTATCTAACAAGTGATGTTTTTAAAATATTTTAAAATTATAATATAAATACATGGCTATAGTAAAACATCTAGAGAACATAGTATTTTAAATATGACAGGCTTTATTAAAATAGTATTTTTCATTGAATGTACTGATTGGTAAATTATAAGGAATGGAAGCAAAAAAAAAGAATGGAAGGTTGGACAGTCATCGTATTAGAGCCAAATGTTATTAGAGCTTTGAGGCATAAAATATGTAAATTTAGCAATAAGACATGACTGAATTTGAATCTCTGTCCATCCCATAAACATGTACTAAATTTAGATATACCAATATAACAATATTTTGTATATATATGTAACATACGTATACACACACAACACATATATAATATATACACACACATGCATGCACACACACACATATATATATATGCATACATATATAAATGTATAAAACCTTGGACAAGTTACTCCCTTCTTCACTTCTTTCAGCCTAACAATTTTTCCTCCATAAAAACAGAGGTACTGGCTAGGGCTGTGGCTCACACTTGTAATCCCAGCCCTTTGGGAGGCTGAGGCAGGAGAATCACTTGAGTCCGGAAGTTACACACCAGCGTGGACACCACAGTGAGACCCTGTCTCAAAAAAAAAAAATTAAATAGCTAGGCATGATGGCTTATGCCTGCAGTTCCAGCTACTTAGGAGGCTGAGGTAGGAGGATCACTTGAGCCCAAGAGTTCACAGCTGCAGTGAGCTAGGATCATGCCACTGCACTCTAGCCCAGGTAACAGAGTAAAACCATGCCTCAAAACAAAAACAAAAACAAACCCAGAGATACCAATACAATTACTATCTGTGCATGTCTGTAGAGACTAAAGTGTTAAAAGAGATAAACTTTGTGTCTGGTACATTACAAGCTTGATAAATATTATTTTCTCTTTAGCTCCATTATTTCTAATAAATTAATGGGAAGTTTAGGATGTATGCACTAATGATTATCATAAAGTTTAAAGTGTGCTTTTGTTTGGTTTGTTTCTATCTATTGATCAGATGGTTAGAGTCACTCTATAGTTGGGCCTTAATAATGTGTGTAGTATGTGTGTGAGAAAAACAGAGAGAGATATGGGGGAGACAGCTGAGAGAGAAAGAGGGGGAAAAAGAGACTAAGAGAAAGAGAGAAAGAGTGTGCATAGGGGGTGCATAAACTGACATCTACAAGAACACAGTCAACTAATTCCCTGTGTCTTTTACTGAAACAATCAGGCAGTTGTGTCTCTTCTTCCACACCACTGTTCAGTAATGTGTTTACTCATTGCTTCCCAAGATTATAGCTTTGCACTGCAGCATCGAAGGGAAATTGCCACTCTCCTGTGTTTTTACTGGAAGGCAAGTACGGTGGAGAGAGCCAAAACTCCACTGGAGGCTACAGATGTTTTGAGAGCGTAAGCAGATTTTCACAGCTTCCAAGTACCGAACAGTCCCTGCTAAACATCTTTTTATGTGCAATGATTGAAAATTTTCATGGGAATAATTTTCCAGTTGAAAGAATAAAAGCAAAAACAATCATAATGAGAAACAATGAAAATCCCTTTTACATCTGAAGGTTTTGTGTGCCGTCATTTTATCATGTGAGTGTTTTGAGTGATGGGCTAGCAGGAGATGTTTTAATCTCTGTAAGCCACTTAACCTTTTTGTACCTCATTGAAGGATATTAACACCTATCTCTCAATGTGTGTCATTATTTCTTATGTTCCTTGAAAATATAAAATATTTTGTCTGCAGTTATTATACTTAAGATCTATAGGTTTCTCTTTTCTGTGACCCCTGCTAAAAGAGAATTATCAGAACACTATCTTTCTGAATCTAAGGAGAATTTTGTAAGAAACACATTATGTCTTTTCAAAAATCTTTAAACAGCTGCGGTTGATCCGAGAGAAGGCGGCATCTATCGGGCAGCTGATGAAAGTGTGTCGTGGAAAGGACCTAAGCTATGTCTGCACCCAAACAGACTCTCTTTGTTCTCGGAGGATTAGATAGTGCAGCCAGTATGTGGCTACTTGGAAAGGGTGGGTGGGCGAAGGAAGAAAAAAAAAAGATATTTGTTATAATATTGGTGCATGTAATATTGATGGGAATAGAACCAAACAGAAACTAGTGACTCGGTGTCATGCAGGAGGCTCCTGACCAACAGTGTTCTGTGGATGTGTTTTTATCAAAGCAGGCACTGGGGGAAGTGGTCCAGCCGCGGAATGCCATCGTCATCTGATCACCCTGCGCTTCTGAGTCAGTGGGCCTGGCAGAACCAAGGGCACTTCAGAGAGTCTTATTGGAACAGTAAGTTTCCATGTGTCCAGATGACATCACCCTCAGCAGGCCTGAAGGGAAGGAATGGGCCAGAGAGTAGCCCGCAAAAAGATTTGTTTGATTTCCAACAGGAGCCCCAAAATTGGGCATTTATTTCAGGGCTTAAAAAATAATAGCATTGAAATAATAAGTAGGTGGTAGGATGACAATTTTAGAGACCCTGATGCCTTTTTTGTGAATAACTTTAAGAGTGCTGTCCTTTTGTTTTTCTTGGCTGCCAATATTAGCATAGGAAGTACACAAAACTGGAGGGGGACTCCATCTTGCTGTGAATATAGAATTGTGGACAGGTATTTGTTGGGGAAAGCTGTTGATGCCCAAAGAGAGGAGCCTAGAAATAAAAGTCACATTTCTCTTTAAAGCTTTTCCTCTGCCTATGAGCCAGCTCTCCTCATTCAGACAACCAGGTGGTTCTCAGAGAGATAACTATGGCTGCATCTAAAGCTCTGGCATGTTTCGTTGAATATACTTTTTCCAGTGCCTCTCCTTTCCCTTTTATGCCCATTTCAAAGCTTTCCTCATTTATACATCAAATCTTCATAGCCTTCACAGTCATACTTCTACACAATACAGAATTTGCTTAATACATATTTTCCCCAAAAAACACTTTTTTAAAATGAAAATTTTCATTGAGGTTATGAGATATACCCTGAAAGGAAATACAATATAGGTCATGGTTGAATAAATTTTTGCAAACTAAACACACAGCATTAATTAGCACCCATGTTAAGATACAAAATACTAACAGCACCTTCGAAGCCCTTTTGTTCCCCTCCCAGTCATTAACTCCAGCCTGTATCCTGACTTCACTACCATGGATTGATTCTGCTTGCTTTTGAACTTCACATGAGTGGAATCCTATCTAGCACATGTACTCTGTTGCGCCTGGCTTTCTTTTCTCAATAGAACTTTTACAAAATTCTCTTGTGTTGTGGTGTGCATTTATTCATTCTCATGGTTACAGAGTATTATATGAATATGATACATTTGGGCTGTTTACTGTCTTTGAATATTATAAATAGTGTAGCTATGCACATTCTCATGGTTGTTTTATGGTGAACAAATGCACACATTTCTGTTGCACACAAATCTACACCTAAAAGTGAAATGTTACACTTAATTCACCTCAGTACATATGGCTAAATAACTTTCTACAGTCCTGTCACCCATATATGAGAGTGCCAGGAGCTCCACAATTTTGCCCACACTTGGTATTGTCTACTTTTTCTATATTTGCCATTCTTGTTAGTGAGTCAATAGTTATTTGCCTTCTAATATATTTCCTAAAATAAATTGATCTCTAATGGTAAAATAATGAGCCCAAGATTAGATCTCTCCTAGAAATTTTGTGTTGCAAGTGATTTAATAAAATTAACTCAAGAAATGCCACAAACAAAGCAAACAGGAAGAGGCAAACACAAATTATTTAACAATTTTAAAGCAATAAATATATGTCAACAAGTAGTTCACTAAATTTTATCTCATCCCACTCCATAAAGTCATTCACTATGATTTAAACATCAGAGAAATTTTTGTTTTTTCAGACGAGCCCCAAACATAAAGCTTAGGCCTCCTCCATCAAGCTCTAATTCTTGATGTATCCATTATGATGCAACCTAGGAACCATTAAAAGGGGTTGGACCTGATGGTGATTGCCTAATTCTGATTTTGGATTCAAGTCATATAAGATACGTAATTCAACAATAAAAGAATCAATCCCAAGAAGCCACTTGTTAGATATCTATGTACGAAGCTGATACTTTATTTTGTGAGCTGAATAATGATATTAAGTTTCCCTTTTATTTACTATCAATAAATTTCTCCCTCCAAATCAGTGAGTGCACTCAAGACTCCACATTTGTGCTTAAAAAAAGGCAGAGGCTAAATTCCAAATTATCAGCAGGAAAACCATGGTTAGTTAGAGTATTTTATTCTGTGACGCAGAATTTACTTGTGCAATGGAGCAATAAAGAGTCAGATAAAAATATAAATGGGGAATAGAGAAGAATGAGTGTTTATCTGTTTTTATGTCTTAAAAAATTCTTCCAAAGAAAGGAAGAAAATGATGTAAAATTTGTGTTTCTTGCTTCTCGTATCCTAAGTCTCTTTATTAGAAGAAACACCAAGTAAAAGGCATAGAATAGCAGATTATTTTCAAAATGCATTTATTCTCAAAAGATATTTTTTCTTCCCTATTATCAATAAAATTCAGCAATTGCTCGGACCCTGTATTTCCTCAGTATATTTTAACTTTTCCCCATGAATATGAGTTAGTTTAAAAAATCCTTGAATCCGCTCCAATTACAGACTTCCCCAGCATTGCTTTTTTAAATGGTTTACATGGCTAAGTGTATTTGTTTGACCTAAAATTTGGCAAAAACATACTTATGTCTTTGAGAGATTAGTAGTCATCAGATACCACTTGAGAATTCATTTTGGTCTTAAATTAGGATAATAATAGATTTATGTTGTTAGAAAGAAAAGCTAATTGGGTAAACTAAGAGATGTGAGTTTCAGTTCCATATTTAGTATTAAATTGGTTCCAGATACAAAAGGTAGATTTTCTCTGAAGGCCTTTCTTGTTGGAGATGAAGACAGAAACTTCATGTTATAAACATATTCTTGGCAAATGTCATGAAAGTGTAGCTTTACCCCACAATTTGCTAATATGTATGCTTAGAATAGTAAATGACTCTACAACAAGTTGAATTTGGCAAAACTTATATAGAAAGGTTGGGTCAGAGAGCCCTGCTCAGGCATACAAGCAGAAGGGGATATACGGAGTTTCCCCTGAAAAGAAACAAATTGCTCCACAAGCCACCAGTGGCCCTACGAACACCCCTCATGCATTTTCTTTTTCAGGAAAATACCCATGAAGCCTCCTTGGAAAAATAGGTGGTGGAGAAACAGTGCCTGCTGGCCAAATGATTAGCAATATCTTAGAATGTCCAAAGCAACCCTCACTGCACATACAGAGCAGCATAGCAACACATCTACGGTGGAGAGTATACACTTTCCTCTACCCTGAACCACTGATGAATTCGACAATAAATCAATTGAATTTTAAAAATTGGTAATGGGGTAAACAAGCTGTTGACTAACTACGTAGAGAGGACAAAAGAAACACAGAACACGAACAGATTACTGAAGGAAGGGTCAACTCATCATGTGAGTGAGTGCAGGCAGCATAGTTCTGAACGATGTTTTAATATCATGTTAAGTCTAATTAAGAAAGAGCACTGTGAAAACAGAACAAAGGGCGGGTGCCCTACCACAGGGAAGGAGAGCAAGGACCCCAAGGAACAGGGAGTGCAAGAGGAAGGATGCAGCCAAGGCCGGTCTTCCAGGGCCCTGGACACAGACGTCAGCGCTACCCACCTGACTCAGGCCACTGTATTTTCACTTCCAGAACATCTGAGCCATAACAGCCACAAGAGGAGCCAGAGAAGAACCTGCAGGAGTAAGGTGGCCCACACCCTGTACATGCTGAAAACGAAAACACCAAAAACCTTAAAAACAAAACAAAAACCTTACAAATCAAACCTCAGTATTCATGAAAAGACTGAGGACTTTACAATAAGAAATCCAATGGGATTCTCTCGAAGGACACAAGTCCCCCAGGATTAGGATTTAGGATTAGAGTCTGGTGTGCAGACCCTGCACCTCTGATAGTTCAGGCCCTAAGAAGCAGACAAATCTTCACGCATTTTCATTTTTAATCTTTTCTTTGATGTATTAAAAGAACCTATTAGTATGGTTTATTTTGCAGTCTTGGACCATAGTTAGCAATAATTTTTCCAGTGATGGTTTTCTACTATATTTTGCTAAATCATTTTTTTTAGCACTTCTAAGCAGTTTTCTGGTAATGTTAAAAGGTTTAATTTGCAAAATCCTATGTCAGATGTGATTTTCACCTCACTCCCCTTACCACCCTCTCATCTTCCTCCAACACAGGGAAGACATGACCAAGAGTTTCAGGAGAGGAGTAGCTGCTCCCATTTCCCTCCTCTGCTCGCCCTAGCACTGGGGAGTCCAGGGATGGGGCAGGTGCATGAATCCTCAGGGATACTGTAGTAAGGACCACAAACCAGACCGGGCTGCCTAAACGGCAAAGATTTTTTCTCTCACTGTTCAAAGTCAAGGTCAAAGTGTCGGCTGGGTTGGTTCCTCTTGAGGCTTCTTTCTTTGGCATGTAGAAGGCGTCTTCTCTCTGTCCTCACGGGGTGGTCCCTCTGTGCGTGCCTGTGTCCTGATCTCCTCTTCTTATAAGAAAACTACTTCTATTGGATTAGGGCTCCTTGATGGCCTTATTTTAGCTTGATTTTCTCTGTAACGACCCTGTCTCCAAATGCAGTCAGATGCTGAGGTCCTGGGGATTAGAATCCCAACATAAATTTTGGAGGACACAATTCAGCCCATAGCAGGGGGCTGAGATGACTGCCTCATCCCCAGTTCCTTTTTCTGTGTTCCAGCACTCTCGCATGGGGACTTGGGAGGGGTTGCAGGAGGAAAGGCAGAGTCCCTTTTCTGGAAGTTCCGCTCAGGACTGCATCACGCAGTTGCGGAACTACTCTAGAGGGCTTCACACATTCTCACCAGAGCTCCTAAAACACTGCAGGCTTCTGTGCTCCCAGCAAAAAGCAGGCTTCTCTTCTTATAATAAAAGTTTTATGGTAGAGAGAATTGGAAAAAAAAAACAGATCGTGGCATCCGAAGTCTCTTTCAGGTTAACCTGTGCTTTGGGGAGCAAGGTGGCCGTAGTGCTGGGAGTGAGAACCAGAATGCTTCCTGGACAAGGTGACACTCAGGCACAGGGGGAATATGTGTCCAGAAAGCTGCTCTTTTAAGATCCTGGAGGCATCTAGGTTTCTATACTTGAGGAATTTTTCTGTTCTTTGAAAATTCCTTGTTCACTTTTTTTTTTTTTTTGAGACAGTGTCTCGCTCTGTCGCCCAGGCTGGAGTGCAGTGGCGTGATCTCGGCTCACTGCAAGCTCCGCCTCCCAGGTTCACGTCGTTCTCCTGCCTCGGCCTCCCGAGTAGCTGGGACTACAGGTGCCCGCCACCACGCCCGGCTAATTTTTTTGTGTTTTTAGTAGAGACGGGGTTTCACCGTGTTAGCCAGGATGGTCTCGATCTCCTGACCTCGTGATCTGCCCGTCTCAGCTTCCCAGAGTGCTGGGATTACAGGCGTGAGCCACCACACCCGGCTCCCTTTTTAATTTTGAATAACTGCCTAACTTTGATTTGGACATTATTGATAAGAAATATTTGCTGCATATTATTGAAACTCAGCTTACATTTATCCTCATCTACACATAAGATGATTTGAAATAATGTCCTAAAGTTACTTTTAATTATATTTTGGGGTTTCCTCAATTGTAAGTGTACTAATTCAGGCTCATTATAAAAGATTATTAAGTTCTCACACTTACTACATTTGGCAAAATTAAATAATTTCCTGAAATAATTATATAATTCATCTCCATACCACAGCTTCTCCATGTGTTGTAGAACAGCAGGGGCAGTGAACTTTTTCTAAACTGGAGTTTAGAAACTAAAACATATTTGACCATGGGCCTTTTTATCTTGGAAGCGATTTTTAACATAAAAAACTATTTTAGATATCTGATTAAAACCATTTTCAACATTTTGCTAACATAAAGCATAGCTTAAGAAACACTGCCACGAGCTGAATTCTATCTACATAGAAAAGAAACTTATTTGAAACAACAGAGAAGCTAATGTATGCAGAAAAGCAGAACAGATTGGCATACTTTTTAAGAATAATTGTCATCCAAGGCCTGATGATGTCCTTTTCTTGAAGTAAATATACAAATATTCGTCTAAATGCATAGTTTTACATACTGTATCTTCTATTTCTTTCTGGCTAAATCTATAGTTCAAAACATTGGGAAATTTTAAAGGAAAAATATTTTATTCAAAAGATCAGCTGCAAGCCAGGCATGGTGGCTCATACTTATAGTCCCAACACTTTGGGAGGCTGAAGCAGGAGAATGACTTGAAGTGAGGAGTTTGAGACCAGCCTGTGCAACATAGCAAAGGTCCTATCTCTACAAAAAATACAAAAAAAAAGTCAGTTACATTTGTTTTTTTTTTGAGATGGATTCTTGCTCTGTCTCCCAGGCTAGAGGGCAGTGGCATGATCTTGGCTCACTGCAACTTCTGCCTCCTGGGTTCAAGAGATTCTCCTGTCTCAGCCTCCCAAGTAGCTGGGACTACAGGTGCACGCCACCACACCTGGCTAATTTTTATTTTTTTTTAGTAGAGACAGGGTTTCACCACGTTGGCCAGGCTGGTCTAGAACTCCCGACCTCAGGTGATCCACCAGCCTCGACCTCCCAAAGTGCTGGGATTACAGGGCGTGAGCCACCGCGCCCAATCAAAAGTCAGTTACTTTTGATAGGAGGATGGAGGAGGTTGATGAGTAACACAAACAATGGTCTTTTCTACAATATGTATTTTCATGCTGACTGAATCTATTGTAGTAAGAGTTATTAAAATGACTTAATATTCTATATAGACGTAGATTACTTCTTTAGCAGTCACTTGCCCATAATTTAACACTGAAAAATTTGCTAATGCTTCAAAAATATTAAGCATAATTATAACACTAAAATAGATTGTATTATACAGATATATAAATTAGATTATCTTAAATATTTATAATAATTTATAAATATATCATAACATATTAAAAATTGTCCACATGTTGTTAAGGATTTTGAAATAACATTGTGACAGGCTTTGGCTGAATGATGGGTTGGTATATGGAACCACATGATGTTTATCAGGTTGCTTTGCTATCTTATTTTAAAACAGAGTGTTTGTTTCCATGGAGTCTTATTAGACTGCCCCACAAAATCCTGGTAGCCATGCCTACTCCTCCTTGAGATAATGAAGCCTTTTCTTGTTTGATTTTGAGATGCTTGAAGATACTGAGGGAGAAGGGTTCTCCTCTTGCAGTAGCCCTTCCAAATAATTCTCTCCTCACTTAAGTTTAGTTTTGTTTTAACCTGGCAATGACACACACACACACATTTTAATAGCAAATATAAATTTATTTGACATACTTTTATTAAGTGATTTGTTTATGCCCTATACTGTTAGTTATATGGTAAAACATCATCCAGTAATTTACAAAATATGCTCCTGAGATTTGTTTAACTAGTAATGCAAATAGTGTACGATTCTGTGAGAAAATAAGTAACAAAGAGCAGCGGAGAAGGCAGTTTTTGGTTTGTGCAGAACAGTTAATAATGGCTTTCTAAAAGGGTCTGGACTTGTGGTCATCCTATGGGAAATGGGATTATTTTCCTAGATTGGTAGAGACATGAGATGGTGATTGAGTCAGGGACTGTAGCCAAAAGCAAGGTCTGGAAATAAGCAAATAAGTCAAGAGACAACCAAAAACAATGTGGAGATCCTTCTGAAAGAAATAAAGGGGCAAAACACATAGAGTTAGTGGTAGATTGGTGCCTATGCACATTTCTTATATTCTTCACCTTTGTTCTATATTTAGCACTGAATGGGAATTCAAGACCAGATGATGTTTATTTTGAATTTGACCCAAAACATTTTTTCTTCTCATGTTATTTTACAGAACTGAGTAAGATTATAACATTAGATTGGGAAGCTTTTATCTGTGACCCTAACTTTGATAAGCACTCCAAGATATCTTAAGAAATCAAAAAGTTTTAATGTAGAGAAGGAGAAGGAAAAGTATGAAATCAGAGAAGTTGTGAAACTAAGGAGTAGACTCCATCACTGGGAGCATATCCTGTAAGCCATGTTCTCCAGAGTGTGATATTCCTGAAGCCAGACACACTGGGGGTAGAGAATATGAAGTCAATATACCACCCCGCAGCACTGATTCATTTTCTCCAAACATTGTGGCTTATGTCCCTGAAAGTGGGAGCTTATTTATCATAAGAGGGCGTGATATCGGCAGGGGCCCAAGATGGGAATGACTGAGGGAGCCAGGGAGCATGAAGAGGAAGAAGGCAGGGACAAGCGGAGATGCTCTTGAGAGGGAGTGAGGTGGAGGGTGGTCTGCCATTCCGGCTGCTTCTGAATCCAGAGATTTTGAATTCCCTTTTATTATAATTTACCACCATTTCTTCAATGATGTCTTGAGAAAGTTCCTCTTCCTTGAAATCAAAAAGGCCTCTCCACACACCTAGATAACTTGCTCTGATCTGTTTTACCACTATGATTTGAGAAACACTAAGTGTCCTCTGCCCCTCATCAGCATCAACTCTGTGGGTTATTTAAAGAACAAGGGGAATGTAGAGAGAAAGGACTGTTTCTGTCCTAAGCAAATATAAGCAGCCTTGGCAAGCTCTGACCATGTGATTTCTAGGACAGCTTGTGCATTCTTTGTGAGACTGAGGGCACTGCCCTGCCCCGTTTCTACTTCACCTCCTGCAAGTGTGCGAGTTCCCACTTGCAATGGAGCCACGTGCCACTGTGTCTACGGTCAATCTGGCTCCCGGGGGTCTATGGTGGGCTTCTCTGGAGTCGTCTCTTTTCCAGATTGGCTGAAGGGATGCAGCTTACAAATGCAAAACAAAAAAAATTAAGGTAGATAGTAAACAAGGAAGAGTTGCATACATGTTTTAGTTCTGGTTTCTGGTATCTCTTTTGTTGTACCCATTGATACCAGATGTCCAAAAATAGTTCTGCTTGTCTAGTTGTCTATAAATTTGAATTACAGAAATCAACTGAAGTCATCCCCCTGTCCCAGTCAATAGGGTAATAACGAATGTCCTTATGCAAGATAGAATTTGAGAGCTAAACGACAATTAGTATTAACAATTACAGTGGAAGCTCTCTGGTTACCTTTGTCTGGAAATAGTGATGGAATGCACTTATGGCACACTAATGTGGGTATTTTTGTTTGTCTTAAGGAAATTTACCAATTGTATAGGTTTGTATAGTAAATTGATGAGCTTCATTTTCTGATTTTGCAATGGTGTCTGTTTGGGTGTAATTTCCACTACACCCAAGAATGGTGTAAAGCCATTCTTTTAGGAATGCCAGCCAAGTAGCCACCTCTCAGAAATACCTCAAGAATGACTTGAAGGTCATTAGGATTTGTCTGAGATAATATATTTTAAAAATAATATTGGGTAGGGCTTTTCTATTGGAATTTTCAACATACAGTCATTATTTCAAGCAACTATATCAACTTGCAACAACATGATGTTACACAGATTTCTAAGAATCAAATTGTGATGTGTACACCAGTAATTACATGGATAGAGTATCTGCTTTTCATTGTTTTCTTCCAGCTATTCCTTTAGGGATTGTTGGTGTTTCTCTAGACCATGTTATATCCGTTCCGCTTGTTCATTTTGGGATAGGTTTGAAGAAGTCATTCCTCAAAGTCCCTGTTGTTGATTTTTGGTGGACAGCCATGTCTTTAGTGGAAATGGCTCTGGTGTGAGTGCTCTAGCAGGATTAACTCACTGCATTTGTCTGGTCTACTTAATAATACCACTAACATGTCAGAGTTTTCCATCTCAAAATTAAACCATAAAAGGCCTCCGTTTCTCTCTCCTCTCTCTCCCTTCACCTCCCCGCCTCCCGCATCTGTCTCTCTCTCTCTCTCTTTGATGACAGAGGGATTTTGATGTTTTTTTTTATTGTTTGGATTTTAACACATCATCATGAGATGTAGTGAATTCCTCTCCTTATTTTTCCCCAAAATGGATATCTATTTCTCCAAATGGATTAATATCCATTTTCCCCAAATGGATAAATAAATAAGGCCCTAGGAGATGTTTACTATCTATAAGGCCCTTGGAGATGCGTATTATTCCAAACAAGAAGCTCCAGCACAAGGATTCTGAACCCTAGCTGCTCATCAGCATCATTTGAGGGCTTTTTTAAAAATTGCGGAACCCTAGAAAATTACATTAGCGGGGGCCGGTAGGCTTTGGACTCTGCCCAGGAGATTATGGCCAGCTGCTGACGTGAGAGCTGCTGATGAGTGCCCAGGGCTGTGATCTGCAGAAGATCCCCTAGCTGGGAAAACAAAGGGACCCACTTTCTAACTTGCTTCCTGTTCTTACTTCAAAGCATTTGTGACTACACTGCAGGATCAAAATCACCCTGAGACCCTGGTGCTCCACTGCTAGAGGGCTTTACAGCTCTGGGACCCAAAAGGCTTTGAAGTCCACTGTGAATTCCTGTGGCTGGGAAGTAGTGGTCCATTAGGAGAATCAAGGCCATGATTTGCCAAAAAGAACTGCTTTCTACCTCTTTTCACTGGGAGTACGCAATGGGAAGACCATACCCCCAACTTGAACATTGCTCTTGGCTCTGTTAAATTCTATTCTTTATGATAAATTAATACTTAGTGCCTCCATAAAAGTTAAGAATGACTGTTGATTTTTAGCCATTTATTAATATTTTATTATAAGTTTTTCTGAGATAATGTGAAAATTTTTAAGTATTTGATAACAGAAAATAGGGAAAGGATAGCTCGTTGTCCATTACAATTCTTCCATAGATACCTGGCCTCCCCTAGACATCTGATCTCTTTGGAACATAGTTTAAATCAAATATCCATTAACAGCAGAAAAAAAATGCAGATTCTACTTTCTAATCTCCTATAGTATCACAACCTAGCTACGTATGTCCAACAGAGAGAAAAGGCACATAGTGATTCTGCAGCTCCAGGATTAAGTGTGATAATTGACCACAGGTGCTCTTTTCCTTTTTGTACGTTTTTTGAACCTTTCTAAGAACAAGCGATCACATAGTTTGATTTTAATGTATTTTCATGCCATAATCTGACGGATTTTAAGCATTAAGATGTCAGAACTGCTAGATGAGAGAGGGACTGATTTTATTGCATTCCTAGGAAAAGATATATGCTTTATTTACTCTCCAGTAACAGAAAGAAAAACCCTCATACAAATTTGGTGGTTGAGCTAATGCTTGTATTTTTATGTATTGTGGATTTTGATCACAAGAAAATTTCTCAGCAACAATTAATGTTTTCATAATAACATACCAGAAACTAGAAATAGTTTATCACAGTTTGGGAATATTTTATTAGGTCATTTTGTATTAGAAATAGAGTTATAGGCCAGGCACGATGGCTCACGCCTGTAATCCCAGCACTTTGGGAGGCTGAGGCGGGCAGATCACGAGGTCAGTAGATCGAGACCATCCTGGCTAACATGGTGAAACCCTGTCTCTATTAAAAATATAAAAAAATAGCTGGGCATGGTGGCAGGTGCCTGTAGTCCCAGCTACTCAGGAGGCGGAGGCAGGAGAATGGCGTGAACCTGGGAGGCAGAGGTTACAGCGAGCTGAAATAGAACCACTGCACTCCAGCCTGGGTGACAGAGCAAGACTCTGTCTCAAAAAAAAAAAAAAAAAAAAAAAAGATAAAAGAAAAAAAGAAAAAATAGAGAAGTAAAGTTATAGCACAGTTTAGAAAGTAAAGACTAGAAAAAGAACAAATTCTACCCAAACCCATTTTAATAATTAAAATTTATTCAGTCAATATGCATTTTAAATTATATTGTATTAAAGTCAGTCTAAATTTTTAAAGATTAAAGCAACGTTTTAAATACTAACTGACTTAATTAGTTGATTCTGATTATATAAACCTTCATCTGTGCCCTAAAACTGTTTATTAAAAAGTACACTATAGCCTAGGCAACATACAGATACTCTGTCCCAAAAAAAAAAAATTAAAAATTAGCCAGGTTTGGTGGCACACCTGTATTCCCAGCTACTCGGGAGGTTGAGGCCAGAGGATTGCTTGAGCCCAGGAGTTTGAGGATACAGTGAACTGTGTAGACACTACCACACCCTAGCCTGGGTGACAGAGCGAGACTCCATCTCAAAAAAATAAAATAATATACAACATTGGAGGCCAACTTTCCAAGTCAAGAAGGAAAAGCCCAACCCTGCAAAGTAAAGAAATATGAAAGCAGTGATTCTGATATAGGTTAACTAAATAGGAAGCTACTTATATTATTCATGCCTCCTATAAAGGACTAATCTAGGAAAGATGTTGTAACTTTTATTTTAGTTTTCTTTCTATCATAGGAAGTTAAAAGGGCTGATGTTACCCACCAAATGCTGAATCCTCTTGTGCTGAATAGAAACAACAAATACTTCCATGCCTAGTATTAAAAAAGAACATATGCGAGGAGATTTGCTAACGTATGGTCAGGAAGACTTTATTCAGGACCATTTAAATAGGCATAGAGACACCGCTCTGGGGTGTGGCAGTGGGGTAGAGATTGGGCTCCACTTTGAATGCAGTGTGGGCAAGCGGGGAATTCACAGCCAAGGAGCAGGGTGGGGGTGAGTGTCAGGGCCAAGGGAATGCTGGCTACACCGACCTAATGGTTTCCTGCTGAAGAGAGGCCAAGGTGATCAGATACCACCTTGGTGGATGGTGGAGGAAGAGGAACCTGAACAGATATTAAAGGTGATCAAATATTGGAGGTGGGGGGTTCTTGCTAAACTGACTTTGCAGGGATTTTACAAGAAAGCATGCAGAGAGGCCTTGGAAAAGGTTCAGGGAGCTGGAGTACAGTTTGATCAAGCAAAGAATATTTGCTACTATCCAGCTATTAGAATCATGTCTGAGGCAAGGCTGTACTTTTATTAACTTTCAGTGAACTTTAGAACAGCTGAGATTTTGGCTGGGTCTCTACATTTGAGTGAATATTCATAGTACGTAGATACAGGAGCAGCCCAGTGATTGCTCGGTTTTTAAAATAAAAGGCCTTATGACCTGCACCTTTCTGACACTGGTTCCCAGCCTCCAAGCACATTCCAGAAGACTGAATACAATCTTGGGTACTTGATAAAACACCTAGTTGGGGCTCCGAACACTACACCCCCACATATGGTGCTCTGCCATGCTAAGGGGATGGAAAGGCTCAGAAGCAAGGTCTCTCTGACTTTCTCCCATCCTGGTGTCTTTCCTCAACCCTCATCTTCCAACTCCCTAACCAATTCATAGGAAAGAGAATTCCTCTTCCCCAACACAGCTCATAGACACTAGAACCCCTCTCTTCCAAAGCAAGCCATGAAACCTGGAAAGGTCATTCTCTCTCTTCTCCCTTGAAGATCCTTGTTCCACAGGAGTCCTGCCCTATACCTGGAAGGAAGGAATGAATGCATGCAGAGAATCCAAGAAGAACCTGAACAGGCAGGCCTTGCTGGGATTTCCCCTCACTCTATCACTATTAGATCACAGCCTTTTGTCTAATCACATTTCTACACAACTGTCCGTTCTTTATAGAATGTAGGCATAAAAATAATTTTCCTTGAGATTTTGGCTCTTCATTTCTGCATTACTCTGTGTCATGTAAAGTTTGATTAATAATTTTGTTATACTTTTCTCCTGTTTACCTGTCTTTTGTTACAGGAGTGTTCACTGTCATCCTCCTAATAGGTAGGGGATGGTATCACACCTTTCCGCCTTAAAGCCTCAAGAGGTGAAAGAAGGCCTATTGTAGTCATATGGCACAGGGCAGAGAATCTCCAACTTTAATTGTCTGGGATCTTGTTTCAGGCAGATAATTAGCAGGAGAAAATAGAGTCTGACATTGAGCATTTTAATGAGTGCCTGGGCAATATCAAGGCTGGTTGTAATATCAAGGCTGGTTGTTCAGGGAGCACAATGACTCTCTAAGCCTGGATTCCTCACTTGCAAACGAGAGTGGTGCTGCTCACAACTCAGGTACTATTTGGAGAATCAACAAGATTTGACGTGACATGATAAACCCAGAGAATGAAAGCCAGGAAGCATTTAATACATGCTACAATTTTTCCTTTGCTTTTAAAAAGTTGATTTGTTATCAAGAGAAGATGACAGAAATAATACCATTTCGTAACTTTCCATTCTTCACTTTGATAGTTTATCATATATGTGTTTATTTTTCTCATAATAATATACAGGAAACACATTATATTTTCCTAGCGCTAGTCAAATTCTATTTAAGTTTGTTAACACACTAAATCATTGTCAGATAGGGGTCATCATTAGGTTTCATTGGTGTTGGTCAAAGTGGACACTATTTCCAAGACAGCACTTTCCGCCAGAGATTGTGGCATTTTGCCCAATATCTGTTAGGCCGCTTGATGGCTTTTCACATGCCTAGTGAAAAAATTTTTTTTTCCTTTTGATTCTGTTTTTCTCATAATAAAAACTCCCTTTAAAATTGAAGGCAAATTTTATTTTATTGTGGAAATAATCCAGCTTGAGAATGAATCAATGCCACACTTTTTCCATGGAATGAAAGTATAACCTCGTTAGGCTTTTGTGTGTTTTCACAGATGTTGTTCTCCTTTTTTGTAGAAGTGAGCTATCAAAACCTTATTCTGCAGCCATATATACAGGTACAGGTTGAAGCTAGAACTCAGGATAATAGTATACTGAAATTTTTAGCAGCCTAAATTTGTATTTTAAGTAATTATGTCCACCCGTAAGGCAAATATTTAGAACATGTCTGTGTTGACTGGCCCTGTCGACCTCCTGATGGGACTTTTAAGACAAAATGAACACATTGTTTCTGCTCCCTGTGCCCTGAGGGTGGGAACCAGGCTGTGATGTCTTTAAATAGTCACAGGTTGTATCTCTAACCTTTGTGCCATTTCCTAATGATTCATACCCCCAACTGCAGCTTTTGAATAGCTGACAAGCTCAACTCTTAGTGATATAACTTTTAATAACATATATTCTTATTACCTAGGATTTTTTTTTTTTTTGCCATAAAAATACATGGCAGTAAGTTTTTATCCCCCTCCCTAATATGTGAATAAAAATAAAGAATTTTTTAATTAAAAAAACAGGGGTGTGTAGTCCTGAATGGCGTAGTTCTGAGGCTCTCTTTGTTACAACTGTGTGTTAAAGGAAGTCTACCAGGAGCTTGAATGTATATGTTTTAATACTGCTTTGTCCCAAACCATTTTTGTACCTTTTGTATCATGAATTATTTTACATGGCACAAAATAGAAGAAAACGATTAAAACATTGGAGAGAATAATGTCCGTCGTGGTGTAGTGGGAAGCAACAACATTGAGAGCAGAACTAGGGTGACCAACTAGACTGCTCCCATTTGTCCAGGATGGAAGAATTTCCCTAACCGTGGACGTACAGGAGGAACTCCAGGATAGCTGGTCGCTTCGGCTGCCAGCCTCACTGGCGTCAAATAAAGGCTCTGCATTTTACCAGCATGGAAACTTCTGGCAAAGCCACTTCTCAGAGCTTTGGTTGTCTTCTTTATTAGCATAAATACTCTTTATGATTTTGTTAAATTAAGCATGGAATAAAGTGTTCTGCTTACATATTTTAAGTTTGCCTGAAAGGTTTCTCCATACATAGTGGGCTGTAACCTAACTGGATATGTGAACCAACTGTCACCTCCTCTTGTAGCAATCAGTTTCTGCCAGTCAGAGGTGGCCAACTGTCCAGACCAGGCTCAAATAAAGAAAACGCAGAACTGTAACCGATTGGGTGTTTTTACATGTCACTTCCGTCTTCTGTACCTTACTTCCATCTTCTTTAACTCATTTCTATTTTCAGTACTTCACTTCTGTCTTCTGTACCTCATGACCATCTTCTGAACCTTGTTCCCTCTTCTCTATCACACTTCCGTTTTCTATCACTTCTATCTTCTCTAACTCATTTCCACCTTCTGTACTTCACCTCTGTCTTCTGTACCTCGTCATCTTCTAGGCCTTCTTCAGTCTTCTGTGCCTCATTTCCATTTTCCTTACCTTATTTTCATCTTTGTACCTCACTTCTGTTTTTCATAAATGACTTCCGTTACCTGTTACTTCCGTTTTCTCCACATCACATTCGTTTTCTGTACCTCACTTCTGTTTTCCTTAACTGATTTCCATCTTCTGTACCTCACTGTTTTTCATAACTCACTTCCGTTTCCTGAGACTTACTTCCGTTTCCTCCACCTCACTTCCATTTTCTGTAACATCGATTTTCACAACCTCACTTCCGTTTGTTATACCTTATTTGCATCTTCTGTATCTTACTTTTTCACTACCTCACTTCTGTTTTGAGTAACTCACTTTCATTTCTTATGATGTACTTTGGTTTTCTCTACCTCACTTCTATTTACTACACCTCACTTCCGTTTTCATTACCTCATTTCCATCTTCTGTACCTCACTTGTTTTTCATAACTCACTTCCATTTTCTGTGACTCACTTCCATTTTCTCTACCTCACTTCCGTTTTGTCTACCTCACTTCCGTTTTTTCAACCTGACTTCTGTTTTCTATACCTTACTTCCATTTTCAGTGACTCACTTCTGTTTTTTATACCTTATTTCCATCTTCTGTATCTTACTTTTCACTACCTCACTTCTGTTTTTCCTATCTCACTTCCATTTCCTGTGACTTATTTCTGTTTTCTCTACCTCACTTCCTGTTATTAGACCTCACTTCTGTTTTTTTACCTCATTTTCATCTTCTGTACATCACTTGTTTTTCATGACTCTCTTCGGTTTCCTGTGACTTCTGTTTTCTGTACCTCACTTCTGTTTCCCTAACATCATTAGCATCTTCTGTACCTCACTTCTATTTTTCATAACTGACTTCCGTTTTCTGTGACTTACTTCCGTTTTCTCTACCTCACTTCCGTTTGCTGTACCTCACTTCTGTTTTCTGTAACTTCCGTTTTCACTACCTCAATTCCGTTTTTTATACCTTATTTTTGTCTTCTGTATCTTATTTTTTCACTACCTCACTTCCGGTTTTCATGACTCACTTCCGTTTGTTTACTTCACTTCCGTTTTCCGTACCTCTCTTCTGTTTTCCTAACATCATTTGCATCTTCTGTACCTCACTTCTGTTTTTCATAACTCACTTCCGTTTTCTGTGACTTACTTCCGTTTTTTCTACCTCACTTCCGTTTTTCTACCTCACTTCTGTTTTATGTACCTTACTTCCGTTTTCACTACTTTACTTCCGTTTTTATACCTTATTTCCGTCTTCTGTATATTACTTTTTCTCTACTTCACTTCCGTTTTTCATAACTCACTTCCATGTCCTGTAACTTACTTCCGTTTTCTGTACCTCACTTTCGTTTTCTGTACCTCATTTCCGTTTTCTGTACCTTACGTTTTCACTACCTCACTTCTGTTTTTCATGACTCACTTCCGTTTCCTGTACATCTCTTCTATTTTCTCTACCTCATTTCCGTTTTCTCTAGCTCACCTCTGTTTTCTATATTTTCCTTCAGTTTTTACTACCTCACCTCTGTTTTTTATACCTTACTTCAGTCTTCTGTACCCTACTTACATTTTCACTACCTCACTTCTGTTTTTTCATAAATCACTTACTTTTCCTGTGATTTACTTTGATTTTCTCTACCTCACTTCTGTTTTCTGTACCTCACTTTTGTTTTCTGTACCTCATTTCCGTTTTCTGTACCTCATTTCCGTTTTCTGTACCTCATGTTTTCACTACCTCACTTCTGTTTTTCTTAACTTACTTCCGTTTTCTGTACCTCACTTCCATTTTCTGAACTTCACTTCCATTTCCCTTACATCATTTTTATCCTCTGTACCTCACTTCTGTTTTCCATAACTCACTTCCGTTTCCTGTGACTTACTTCCGTTTTCTATACCTCACTTCCGTTTTCTGTATCTCACTTCCGCAATGGTCCCCACCTTGCCTGGAGACCAAGCTTTCTTTGCAGGCCTCATCAAGTGTGCTTGTGGCTTCATCAATAGTAAGTGCTATTCTCATGGTTATCTTCAGACAGAGATAAAACCATCAGTCTTGTTCTCAACTCTGCAACTTCTCTCCAGCAATCAGGTGCCTCTGGGGGACAGGTTGAAAGTCACACCAAGTCTGCTGGTTCTACACTAGCAGAGATGAAGTTTGGGTTGACAGATTCCCAGTGAGAATGCCAGCATCTGCTCTTCAACATCCCATGGCTGACCAGCTCCTTTACCTGCTATATTTTGTTAGTGTGCTTTTACTTTCATCTTTTCATAATAACTTGTAGTGTACAGATTATGGGACACTCTGCGGTGATTTATTTTTAGATCTTAAGAAACTAGACTTAGATTTCTTCAACTATTAAAAATCACAGAAACCAAGGCTATGCTTTCCATCACATTGCTGTAAGCCAGGCAAGCTCGGGAGTTAGGGCCTGATGTTCTTTCAAAACCTTGACTGTCCACAGGCATTTGCTTTCTTTTCAGTGAATCTCTCATCTGAGCTCCTGCTCATGGTAGTCGCAACTTCCATTTATTTTGTGGTCAGAATAGGAACCACTGAAGACAGCCTGTGGTCATTGTCTGCTGAGCAGTGCAGAACAATCTATTAAGCAGAATTCTGTTATTTTAAGGAGTTGAAGGCCCATAATTCTCCTGGCATGTTTTCACACAGTTAATGTTTCCAGGTATCTCGGCGTTGTTGAGTGTAAGCTGCTGTGATAGCTTATGCCAAACTATACTTGCCGTTTCCTTCAGTGGCCAATTTTTAATCCACTCTCTTATGCTGATATAGATGTTCTCTTTGTTTTCCTTTCTGACACAAGCAGGAAGTTTCCAGAGCCCCAAAATAAGAGAGCAAATGACTTACACTGCTTATTTCAGTTTAGTTAATTTATGAATATTTTCATAAAGTTTGATTTTCTGTGAACCACTTAAATTTAGTGAGAATATTTCCTTCTGTTCCAAAGTAAATAAATGAAGAAAGCTGGAGAAACTCATACCGTCTTTCAAGTAAGGAGAAGAAAACCGACCCATCGATTTCTCGTAATTCTATTCATGCTATGTCTTTGATGGGCTTTTAAGGAGCTGTTGTAACCCTGGGTTTTGAGGGCAGTGCATTCCTTTTAAAAAATATGATTCAACCATTAGAAATAGGTTGGAACTTCAAATACCTACCAGCTTCCTCCCATCGATTTTGCATTTTCTCCTAGGTTTATACAACATTAATTAGCCTAGCTTTGCTTTTTAGAGTAATATATTGTGGGTGGCACAACACTGCTGCCAAGCAGATTTGATGACAAAGAGGAGAGTGGTTTATGTTGGATTTGTATTTTAAGGGAAAAAAATACTTGCTATTCTTTGTCTCTCCCTTCTCAATATAATCAAAATTTAAAAATGAATAAAGCCAAGACAAAACAAACAAGGTAGCAAAACACCCCATACTATTATTCAAAGGATCTTAAAAATGTGAAACAATGACCCACTCTATGCCATTTACTTGACTATTTTAAACAGAAAACAAAATGTAGAAATGTAGAAATGAACAAAAATGGAACCTGAGGAACAATGACAGTGTTTTAAATTATTTCCATGAAAGTCCATGCTTTTATTTTTAGGCAATCCTCTTATGTACGCAATCACTGATTATTAATGATTTCCATAAGCACAATTCTTCCAAAAATCTTATCATAAAATATTTCTAACATAAAAGCTGAAAAAATTGCAGAGTGAACACTTGTGTACACTCCACCAGGATTTTATAATTAACATTTATTATCTGTTTTGTTTCATATTTATCTTATTTTCATTCCTCTGTCTAGAAATCAATCTATTATAAATACAATTTTAATCAGTTGATTTATCTTACTTTCCATCAGCAGAAATTTGGAAGCAATTAATTTGGAGGAGGAAAGAGTCTAAGTAAGATGCCTAACAGATCTTGGTGCGTTGACAACCTTGAAACTTGATGTTAATGGACAGGTACAAAGATGAAGATGAGCTGAACAGTCTTAGTGGTTGAAGCTGCTGCATGTAAGATAAGCATGTTAAATCCATGCCATGTATACTGCAAATCCCAATCCTGTGCACAAAGCAGGCATTGCTAAGAAGACCCTGCTGTATTTAAAAAGCCTAGATGCACTGATAGAACCCTCAACACAGGACTCCAGCCATGGACTACCATTGGTTCAGAGCTGCCAGTCCAGTAGTAGCTTATGCATCACCTACGGTAGAGTGGAAACTCTCCTGCACACGCCAGTCACTCCAAGGGCACTTTAATTAAAACCACACAAAATTTTTGTAGATAACAATAAACTTGATTATGGATAAATCATGAAATCAATAAATATAGAGTTCCTGGTACTCACCACCACCACCCCTTCTCTAATTTTTTTTCAAATTCAGGTAATCTCTATACCTTTTGCTTAAAAAAGAAAAGACAAGAAAATAAAATTTTACCTTACAATTCTAACCATCCTGAAAAGTTTTTGTGGCCTGGGTTAGACATGGGAAGGGGTTAGGAAGTTCTCAGTAAGAACAAAAGAAGCAATTATGCAGGTCAATATACAATGCATTGATGACCTAGGTGTGTGGTGGATGTAGGAGATGGAATTCAGCCAGGTGCATATTTTCCTGTAAGAGCCTCGAATGAGTGTGGGATGAATAAGAGGATGAAGGAATGGTATATGTACACACACAGCAATTTCTCAATAATGGATTTTGCAGACATAAATGTCATCTAGCTTTTATCGTTTGGTATAAAATCTCAAAGGCCTTAGCAAAACAATAAACTTCAATTAGCTTGATTGTGAATTTTTATGATTTCTTAATCTATTAACTTCTCATTGCTAATGTTACGGCAGTAATTTTGGAATAACCTGAGCAATAAATGCCATGATTAAGGGAGAAGGCAGGGAGGGGGGGTTAATATATTTTTAAATGGCTACTAGGAAAATAAAAGTTAACTTTTAAAAAAAGTTCTAACATATTAGTGGTGAACTTCATTTATCTAGAAGATTCCTGGAAATGAACTAGCTCATTCTCCAATAAATCATATGTGAGGCATTACCTACTATATATGCAGAGCAATATATTTTGTGACCTGCTGACTTTTTGAGTGAAGTAAAAATATTGCTTTTAATTCATCCTAATTGTAATGAGCTAAATCAATTTGCCTTTTGAGTCCTGCTGACAGCATAGAAATGTGGTGGTGACGGGGAAGAAACAGGAACCAGGGCAGCCAGGCCTGGTGGGTGTCTGGATTCTGCATATGGAACTTGCCTCCTTGCACTGTTTGTGTAGCTGGGCCACTGAAAATAGAGGATTTCCCTTTCTGAGATCCCTGAGGCCAACAGGAAGATCATATTACTGAGCAGTGTGCCATAAGAACTTTACCCTGTGAGGTTCAAAGGCACCATAAAGTTCACACTGGCTTCCACAGATATTTCTACTGATTTCTATTCCGTTTATGGTGAAACTAAAACTGTCACATCTTAAAGGTGACCCCCAGCAAGCAGGTGGTGTTTGAGACAGTGGCACCTTGTTGCAGCTTCTGTTCCTCAGGGTGGAGCATGAATACAATGCAATATCCCCATGCATGTGGATCAAATAATGAAGCAGCTAAACATGTGAAGGCACACTTAGGTCAGTACCTGCCAGACACAGACAGAGAGCAGGTTCAGGTCAATGGAGCACAGCTGAAGCTGGGTCCGGATGGGATGGGTCTAAGTAGAAATAAAGTTTCAAAGGATGGAAAGCCTTTAAACACTTAAAATGGTGCCATGGATGAATACAAATTATTTCCCTAAAAGCTCTCTGGACTCCATCCCTATCGTCATAAATTTTTCGGATGAAGCACCTATAGGCAGGCTGCTGCAGAAACAAATGATAATTACGTGTTTCTAAAATCACATTTTGGCAGTAGGGTCATTTGAGAAGGGCTGCCAGTCCTTTTGCAGCACAGGAAAAACAAAGCTACTGTGAAGACACTAGCTTCATAATCTATGCACTAAACTCACTAGGAAAGTGTAGCGTGTGTGTGTGTGTGCACACACGCGCGTGCTTGTGTGTAGATTTCTATGTATATCACTTTTTGCAGATTCATATCTGGCAGCAATTGTGCAGATTTGGTTGTTAAGCATGAGTTGAAGCCAATTTGGTCAAGTAATTAGTGTTCTGCCCTTTCTAATTAGCTGATTTAAGGTTGCATAACAGATTAATTTTAAATTAATGTTAATGCTGCTATGCTCAAGGTTAAAAGAAGGGACTAGTAGGATAGCACTACATAGTACCGTCTGTCTTCTGCGTTTCTCAACCAAGTAGGTTTCTCAGCTCTTGGTCCACTCTGGAGCCAGTTACCCATTGTGCTCAATTCACTTACAACTGTGCCCACATTTCAGAAAAGTGGCAATTTTCAAGAGCTTCTTTGACTGACATGTAGCTCAAAACCACATGTGATGCACAAGTTGAGATTTTAAGATGACGTCAGAAATGAGAGTGGGCAAACCTTGTACTCATGGTCAGCTATTCATTCATAATCCAATAATGAGAAAGTATGCTTACACATTTTCACCTACACATAGAGAGATACAAACATCTCTATGTATATGTATTTCTATGCCTCTATACATCATATGGAGGCTCCACCCACCACATGCTCCACAGAACATTCATATTTCTGAGTTTTCGTGAAGGATGCTTTATCTCCAGCAGCAAGGAAGATGGCCTATGTGGTTTGGGGAAAAAGCTGTTCCAGTCAATGGCACCTGCCTGCCAATGGCATTTACTGTAGGGTCATGAATTTGATTTCTGTATTGACTTGCATTCCTCTGCCATGTGACACATCTCAAGCTGTGTGTCCTATCCTGGGTGTTAATTAAAGAGAGCTTTTTTGGTTGTGCTGTTGTATTGCAAAGAGTCGCTGATTTTATAGACCTTGGGGTGCTCTGGCAGGTTCCAGCTTATGTGGCATGCTGGTATTCCAGGGATTCTCAAAGTCTCCCTTGGGCATCATCACTCTCTCTGAAACTGCACTCTGACCCTTGACACCATTGCCTGGCCCTCGCCCTGCCCTCATGTCCCTCCCACTTTCCCTCCTCCGTGTCCACACAGAGAGACTAACTTACATGTTAGCTTCTAATTTGTAATTTCACTTTATTTAATAAAAAGAATCAATATTATACAAAAATGGTGTTTATAAGTCTGAAGTATTTAAGGTTCATATACAACTGTGCACCTGATTCTAGCAAAGCCTGCAATAAGAAGACATGTTTGTTTTCTGCTTGGGTGGAGGATTACTTGTGACTTCAGAAGCTTTTTAATTTTCTTAAATTTCTTTCTCTTTACTTGTGTGTTAATTACCACAAGAGCAATGCCCATGTCTTGCTCAGTTGTAAATGGATCCCCATCTTAGCACCAGACCTGACCCAAGGCACATCCTCAGCAACTGTGTTGTGAGTTAATGTGTGGAGGGATATACCACAAGCCAGCTCCCACCCCTCAGATGGGAGGAGAGAGAGGAGCCCAGGGAGATTCACTGAGCATCCCTCGAAGCTTCCCACACCGTGAGAGAAGGTGTTGATGGGAGCTGTACAGTGCTGTTGATGGAGGGAGGCCAGGTTGAGAGTAAGGAAGCCTTTCCATGTGAGCTTGTCTTGTAAGTCGCCCAGAAAGACTAATCTCTGCCCACATCTAACCTCGGCCACAAAATCCTTTTAGGCAAGGCCTGAGTCTTCAGAGCTGCAGTGATGCGTTAGGATGCCTCTGCTTCCCTAAACAAATATTTACTTTTGTACCATTTTTTTGTATTCATAATTCTGATCTTTTTTTTGTTTTTAAGGTTCTAGGAATTGTATAAAATTTAGGTTCCACAAAACCTGATGGAGTTCCAAATGAGAAAATTTAATATTTTCCTCCAGAACATTTGTCCTTGCTCTGTATACTGTATCTCTTCCAGCTCTCCCACTGCTTGCTTTTCTGACTTCCTTCCTCCTCCTCCCTCCTTTTTCCTGCCTTTCAGCATCTTAAGGAGCCCAGTAATCCAGGTTTTCAGTACAGCCTGGAGCAATCTAAGTTGAAAAATCTCTTTTGCAAACATCACAGTCATAATATGGTGAAAATTTATCTTCTTTCTTCCAGCTTTATGAAAACGCTTACCGTTGTAGGGGATCTCCCCTAAAAGTGAGACTTTGTAGGACTCGGGACCCCACCCCACTGCTTAGAAACCAAAGGGGCAGGTATTTCCTCCTTCTTCCCCCAAGTCAATGTAATAGGAGGATGTGATCTGTGTTAGGCCATTGGATGCTAGAAGTAAGAATTATTTTTTAATTTAATTTTGAAGAAGTGTCACGTGCCCCAGAGACAGTAGACGGTTGCTTGGGAAGGTGATGCAGGTTACAGTCCAGCAGCACTGGTGGTGGGGGCAGAGGGGTGGGATCGGTTGCTGAGGCAGAAAACCTCTGGCCTGGCAGGCAGGCCTCTGGTGGCCTCTGCCACGTTCCCCAAAGCCCAGCCTCCTCTGGGTCCTCATTCTTCCCCAGCCTCATTTCCAACACTTCTTATCATTTCTGTAAACTGTTAATATTCATTCAACAAATTCCTTTTCTGCTTAGGGCAATGGGATTTTGATTCTTTTGGTTGCGTCCAAGAACTACACTTTTTTGATATCTTAGAGATCTTTTATTCTAATCTCTCTCATTTTGTAGAAGGAGAAATAGGCTGCTGCATGAGGTAGTGGAAACTGCCCCACTTTTCAGAACTTATCCTGGACCTGATGATCTCACGATTTCAAGTCAACATTTCTCTGTCATTTAGACAAATCTAGGAGGCAAATAAATCTCTAAGAATGAATAATGTCTGGAATGAGTGAGCCATAGTTTTGTAAAACAGATCATGTTTACTGTGAATATTGTACGGAATCTTGACTTTCTTATTCTAGAAAGACATTTTCAGTGATTTTTACAAACGTGCAACCACACTGAACAGAAGTGCTGATCACTGGCCATGCTGGGAGTAACAAAAGTTACCTGTTGTTTCCTAACATCTTTTTCAATATGTCTTGACTCTTTTCACCCCATCACTTGATTCTCTCCTACTTCCTAGGATCTGAGAAGCATTTAGAATCAGAAAAGGCAGAATTGGAATCTGAAAGGCAACAGAATCAGAAAATTTGAAAACTGATTAGATTTGGGGATGGAAACGAAGGCCTAAAAGATGACACTAATTTCTCAATATTGATAAGTAGATGAATTACTAATCACACACACCCCATACACACATACTCACACACATATACACACTCATACATACATACGCCACACCCACACACATGCATGTACACATAAACATGCTCGTGCACACACATACATATATGTACGCACTCATCATGCTCATATACACACATACATGCACCACATAAACACACATACATACATGCACCACACCCACATGCATGTACACACATAAACATGCACACACATGCACATACTCATGCTCATGTACACACATGCACACACACGGGTGCACACTCATACAAACACATATACACACACACACCTCCAAAACAACAAAGCAAAAAAAGCATACAAGATTCTTTAAGGAGAGTGTGCATTAAGGAGAACAATCATCCCTGCACTTAGGGAAGGAGAAGGAAAGATGTCACTGGGTAGCAGGGACAGCTGATAAGTGGTCAGGATGGGCACATAAGGATCAGAAGAAGAAAACCCCCAAGAATCAGAAGAGTAGCAGGCCATGAATGCTAAGAGAAGTGCATGTTCTGAGAACTGCAGGCCAGCAGGGTCAGCCTGGTGCAGGCCAAGGAGCAGAAGGACTCAACATAGGAGACTAGATGGAGGGACCAAGGTAGCATGAGGACCTTTGCAGGAAATGTCTCTCTGGTGTAGATAAAGTAGAACATCAGCGTTAGTCAAGAAATAGCCAGGGGTGGGAATGGGGAGGACCAGAATGTAAATAACCACTCCTTCCAAGAAATCTGCCATTACAAGAGTAGTGGGAGATGGTGTATTCAATCAGACACACATGGCTATAGATTAAATGTCATCTGCCTCTGCAAAAAGTGGAGAGTTGGGCCATTTTGTTAGAATAGGCCTAAATATTCTTATGGGACAAAAAGAAAAATAGAAAATAGAATGAGCCTGCTAGTTTACCTCACTCTGTGCACAGTAATTCCGGTGCTGCTTCAGATTGCATTTTAATAATGAGTTACCGCAATGCGATTCCACCCCGTACCCACTAGGGTGGCTATAGTAACTATTTTTTTTTTAATGAACATAACAAGTATTGCTGGAAATGAGGAAAAACTGGAACCCTCACACATTGCTGGTGGGAAAGGACTATGGTGAAACCACTGTATCCACTGTGAAAAAACGGTTGTTGGTTTCTCAGAAAGCTAAAGGTAGAATTACCCTATGACGAAGCAATTCCACCCCAAGGTATATACCCCCCAAAACTGAAAACAGGTGTTCAAACAAAAGCTTGTGTATGAATAATCATAGCGACATTATTCATAATAGCCAAAAGGTAGAAATAAACCAAATACCCATCCACGATTGAATGGATAAACCCAACATGGTCCACCCATACAATGGAATATGATTTAGGCATAAAAAGGAGAAAAACACTAACATGCGCTCCCACATGGATGAACTTGGAAAACGTCATGCTAAGTAAACAAAGCCACACACCATCTGACTCCATTTAGATAAAATCGCGGGAATAGGCAAATCCACACAGACAGAAAGCAAATTGAGAGTTGCTAGAGTCTGCAGAGAGGAGAGAATGGGGAGTGACAGCTTAATGTGTGTGGGGTTTCCTTCCGGAGGGATGAAAACATTCAGGAACCAGAGAGTGATGACATTGGTGCGGCACTGTGCTTGTACTACATGGCTCTGAGTTGTTCAAATTAAATGGTTAAGATGGTAAATTTTTGTATGAATTTTAATAAAGTATTAGTTGGTTGCTTTTTAAAATTGCTTGACCATTTATGTCTTTATAAAGTAAGGAATATGTTTCTTTTAATAGGGCTCAAAAACTAAAGATTCTGAAACAGTCTCTAGATAACCTTGTAACTGCTGCTTAGACTACGAGGTAGTAATCTGACAAATTTCTAAATTACATATGACTTTTAAATTGTTTTTAAAAAATTATTGTATAGTTGGTAAGCTCCTATTTGGAAACAAGGGAATAATGAATTCTTAAAAGAGCAAGATTCTAGAGATTTTCTGTGAGAATCAGAGGATAAAACACTTTTATTAGAGTCAATGAAGCCATGTGCCCCTAAATATTTTATTTTCAAATTTAAAGTGTATGATTGATTGTCCAAGCTGATAATCAGCACCAACCCTCTCTTGTTTTCCTCGTGTATAATTTATATCCTATTATTTTGAAGAAAGACCCAAGGCAACTGTGCTATCCACATGTGTACATTGAGCCGCAGTCTTCCAGCTGTGCAGTTTCCGGAGCATTAAAAGAGTTATTCTCTCTTAAAACACAGGCTCACATGCCTGAAGTCCCACTCTTAGAAAATGATTTGATTTCTCCTTTCATCCAGGATCCTCTGATAAAGTGCCACTAATGACTCCTGGAGACAGCAGAGCAATGGGGCCCAGGCCAACTGCGTCTTCAGAGTCTGCACTTGTGACAGAAGGGGGCATCTATGTGGAAACCTCAGCATCTTCTCAGTGCATCTATTCCACAGCTGATCTGGGCCAGCTTGAGATTCCCTCTCTCACAGCACCCTCCACCCACCTCACGGAGGAGGCAAAACTATCTCTCAACTTTCAGTGTGAGAGTCTGAAAATGGGGAAGCTTTAAGAAAGACAGGTTTTTTTTTTGTCTGTTTGTTTGTCTGTTTTGTTTTTTCCTTAAAGCCCAAGGCTACCATGTTTATTTCTGGCTTTGGGTTTCTTTCTTGAAAAAAACCCTTTGATAGAAAGCACACCTTGAGTGACCTGCGCACCTCTCCTTTGACACAGATCCATTTTGTTTGGGGAAGTTGCATGGGAGGCAGAGTTGAAGCTGCTGCAGAGGTTTGTATTTCAACAGATCATTCCAGCTATCCACGCTCAGCGCCAGGGAATATGGAGACTATAACATAGTATGTGGCTGACGCAAGTTGCCTACATAACTCAGACGAGAGCTCCACACCCTGGGGCTGTGCCTCGCCACTTCTGTGGAAAACATTCTTCAGAGCTCTTTGGAACAGGATGACTCACATCAGGGGGTATTTTTAGGAATCTGTGAACTTGCATTTAGCTTAGAGATGCAAGATCCATCCAGAGGAGCTCTGAGCCATTACACACGGGCTGTTTTGAATGTTGTAATTCAACCACGGTTTCTTGGTCTACGATTGAATCATCCTCCAGTTAAGCATCAGAAGAAAACAGAAAAAGACTGTTGCTACAGCAGGGCATTTGATAACATGCTAAGGAAATCAGTGCCGGCAGCGGCCCCATGTATATTTTTACAGAAGAGCACCTGCTTGTTCCCAGCTCATCTTGCAATACTTGCTTAAATTTTGCAAATTCACTCCTAGAAATTTGTTGGATTGCATTAAAATATCAACACTGAAATTAGAGGCAGGTGTAGTCAAATGCATTAAAATGCCACTCTAAGCAAGGTCAGCTATACATAGTGCTCATTTATTTGCAGCTTACCTTTCAAACCACTGGAGAGAGGGGCAAATTGGAACAGCAGGTGCGGCCTGTGGAAGCTTTAAGCAGCATGAGACAGTTTCCCCCTGGAAGGTTGGGACCTCCCAGATACGTGTGTGTATATTTGTGTGTGTTATGTATGCATGTGTGTTGTATGTGTTTAAGTGTGTGTGGTTTTTTAATTTTTGTTTGTATGTATGTGCATTTGTTGTGTGTGTGTGTTTGTATGTGTGTAGTTTAGTTACTAAATAATCAGTTCCAGGTAAGAACAAATCAGTCCATCCATCAACCAATGAACAGATGAGTTGTAGGCAGACCTTTCAATGCTGAGAAATAGAATCTTTGTTTCAGTGTCAGGATAAGGAAATTCTGCTGTCAAATGTCCAGAGAATAAGGGTTAGCATTATTTGGGCTTGGAGGCAAGAATTTCTCATCTTCCAGTAATGATCAAAACCTGAACAAATCTAATAATATGTAAATGTCCAAAAAAAGAAAGAAAGGAAGAAGGAAGGGAGGAAGGAAGAAAGAAAGGAAGGAAGGAAGGAAGGCAGTGAGGGAGGGAGGGGCAAAAATGGTGAAGTTTATGAATTAAAGGAAAAAGGAAAGATTTTAGTCAACTTAAATATCGTATTTCTTTCACAGCTGAAGTTTTCTTCGTACATGTTTACGTTTTTTTTTTTCTTCCCTGCCTGATATTTTGATTATTTTTGCTGCTGGTTTGCCAGTATGTAAAATTTTCTCACTGACTGTCCCTTGCCAGAACATGGAAGTCTGTGTTGATTGTTACACTACCTGGGTTGACCAGGGTTTAACGTAAATTCATGAACTTAACAGTGGATTCTTCTCCAAGTGGAGCTGTGATGACTAAGAGCACTCCCAGTTGACTTCCATTTCACAAACTTTCCCCCTTTCACTTCAGTATTATTAAAACAGATGGTGCCTTTCCAGTCCAGCAGGGAACTACAAAAACCAATTTTAGAGAGTAAATTGGAAAGTTGATGTTTCCTTTTAAACAAACAAAGGAGAGCTGAACTACCTCAGCCAAGAAAGAAAACCAGATCTCAAATGTTAACCTAAATTCAAACTACTATAAAGCAGTCTTTTGCTGAAAAACAAAGCACAGAACATTACATGGGACCCTTCAGTGAAAACTTTGATCATAGTTTTCATGTTTCTGTCAGGGTGAAAAGAAGAAATAGCAGTCTCTTTTGACAGTATTTTTGGTCTGGCCAAAAATAAGGACGTATCAGATAATCCATGCAAAATGTTGTTTTGATGTAATTTCCAGTCATCTTTCCAGACTCAAAAATATTTGGCTAAGAAGCAGCTGGAGGCTAGAGCCAGAGTTGAGTCTCACATGGTCATTTGTTAAGAACTGTTCATTAGTAAAGTGAATTCTCCAAACATAATTTTGATGTTCAAGTTACAGTCAGATGCTCACATGTAAATGCAAACAGTATAAGAATAAAATAAACTTTAAGAATATTTACTCTTAATTTTCATAGGTGTTATTATTATTATTTTTTGAGATGGAGTTTTGCTCTTGTCACCCAGGCTGGAGTGCAGTGGCCAGATATCGGCTCACTGTAACCTCCACCTCCTGGGTTCAAGCGATTCTCCTGCTTCAACCTCCCAAGTAGCTGGGATTACAGGCGCCTGCCACTATGGCTAGTTGGTTTTTGTATTTTTAATAGAGATGGGGTTTCACCATGTTGGCCAGGCTGGTCTTGAACTCCTGACCTCAGGTGATCCACCCGCCTTGGCCTCCCAAAGTGCTGGGATTACAGGCATGAGTCAACGCACCCAGCCATAGGTGTTATTTTCAAACTGCCAATATGCTTAATTTAGTCACTATCTCTTTGACTCAAAATTCCCATTAAATATATATTTCTGCAGACTGTGTGTGTGTGTGTGTGTAAATATATATATACACCCTTCTGTGTGTGTGTCTGTGTGTGTATATATATGTGTGTATTATACATATGTATATATAATACACACATATATGTATATACACACACATATATATGTATATATGTATATATACACACATATATGTATATACACACACACATACAAAAGGTATTTTGCCGTACTCTCAGAATGGTCAGTGTGTGATATTTACATTTTTCTCCCAGTTACTGCTCTTCAGCTCATGATTACAGAAAACATATATATTTACATATGTGAGTAAATGTATATATGTAATACATATACTTTATGTATACATATTACATATATAATATGTATATTTATCTTATACATAAAATATAGCATTCAATGTGATAATTTGGTTTTGTATATAAATGAAAGCATGCGAAGGAAAATCTTTCAATACACTTGTGTAAGTCGATGATACCTTAAGTCAAGAATAACATGAAACTTACTGTTTCAAGTGTTTTTGAACTCAATGACTCTCAACCCCTGGACAGCTCTGCCTTCCCCGCCCCACACACACCTATCACAGAGCAATCAAGGACAAGAACACACTTGTGTGGCTGGAACTTTGTATAAAGTAAAAATGGTGAAGTCTATGTATTAAAGAAACTCCAAATTAAGTGACAGGAAGACTGACGTCCAGTGTGCCCCCCGGGGCCTGTCTGGGGCCTGTCATTGTGCGTGGTGCAGAACCTGCTCAAAAAGCACCAGTGTATAAATGAATGAATGAGAAACTCTTGAGCTTTGAAAATGTCTTCCCTCCTCTTCCCCAGGTATTGTTCTAGAGAAGGGAGGATGTGAAAAGTAACTGAAATCTGCTGTACGAGTTTTAAAATCACCTGTAATTCTGCTACTCCTATATCACAACTTTTAATATTGTGGAAGATATTCTTCTTGTCAAATTTACTTTTCATTTACCAAAGTGGGAATATATTATACAGTTTCATAAAGTCACATTTTATCTTTCATAATGAGATCAAGCTACATTTCACAAAAAGGAAGAGAGTCTTGGTAGTATTTGCATTTTGTTGTAAACATAGACACCTCCTGGTCCATATATTTGCCTCCAGGGACAGTCACCTTTACTTTTTATCAAGTAGACTACAGGTCCTCCAGCAGCCAGACAAACGTTCTATGTTTCCAAGAAAGTGGCTTGTCTTCAGTTAAATGTCCCAACGTAATTCCATGAAAGCAACAATGCTTTATTGGCTCTGAGTTCATTAGATGGGAAGAATTATCAATCTTCCTCCTCTAACATGTAACAAGGAAGCAAATAAATAGGAAAATACATTTCCAGAAGAGCACGAGTCTTTTGAACCTAAACTTTGTGTTTAGTAGTTTCTTTGACACATTATTGGGTCTCAGGGTGATGGGTGCAACAAAATCTCAGAAATCACCACCGAAGAACTTATCCGTGTACCCAGAAACCACCTGTTTCCTAAAAACTGTTGAAATAAAATAAAATATTAAAAATAAATATTTTTGAATCAATAAATAGTACCAAATTCCAGTGAATCTAATAGGATGTTAGCTATAAAGTTTAACTAAGCTAACTGAATGATTCAATCTGGTAAATAGAGGTTCATATTCTTTGTTGCCATACTAAAACTGTCTGCCAAAAAAAGACATTGTTATTTTAACATAATCAGTATTGAACACTTCCTGCAGACAATAAGTGGTCATTAACTTCATTTACTTCTTGTAGGCATGCTTTATACAGAATCAAAAGGCCATATTAACTGCATAAAAAAGTCCTTATCTTCTCATTTCTTATGTTTATAAATGGCATTGCTATGAGTTTTGCAAAGTGTTGAAAATGTGAGGAAGCTGAGATTACGATTGTCTGTACTCCACAGTAATCTCCTTCCAAAGAATCAAAGGTGTTTAAATAACAATTATTCACCAGCTCACTTATTTTCTGCAATACATTCTTTTTGGTAACAGCTTTATTGAGATATAATTAAAATGTCAAATTCACCCTTTTAAAAAATATACAATTCAGTGGTTTTATTATATTCACAAGGTTGTGCAATCATCACCACAATCAATTTAATAATATTATTATCACTTAAAAAAAAACCCAGTACCTTTTAGCAGTTACGCTCCCATTTTTCTCTAATCCCAGCAGCCCTAGGCAACCGCTAATCTACTTGCTGACTCCAATAGTTTTGCCTGCTCTGGACATTTCATATAAATGGAATCATATAACGTGGTCTTTTGTGTTTGACTTCCTTTACTTAGTATAATATTTTAGAGAGTCGTCCATGTTGTAGCATGTATTCGTTTTTTGTTCCTTTATATGGTTGAATAATATTTCATTATATCAACGTATCACATTTTATGTATCCATTCATTAGTGGATACACATTTGGCTTGTTCATATCTTTTGGCTATTATTAACAATGCTGCTAAGAACATTTTTGCATGAGTTTTTGTGTAGACAAGTGTTTTCATTTATCTTGGCTACATACCTGGGAGTGAAATTGCTGGGTCATATGGTACCGCTTTATTTAATTTTTTGAGAAACTGCTGGACTGTTTTCCGAAGTTACTGCACCATTTCACATTCCCAACAGCAGTATATGAGGATACCAATTGCTCCACATCTTCACCAACACTTGTTATTATCTAATTACTTCTGTTTTCTTGCACAAGAATGTGAATGTACTTAACACTGTGCACTTAAAAATGTTCGAATTTATGTTATGTATATGGAATTTTCTTGTTTTTTAATTTTTTTAAATTTCAATAGGTTTTTAGGGAGCAGGGGGTGTTTGGTTACATGAATACGTTCTTTAGTGGTGATTTCTGAGATTTTAGCACTCCCGTCACCTGAGCAGTGTACTGTGTACCCAATGTGTAGTCTTTTATTCCTCACCCCCCTCCCACCCTTTCCCGTCAGTCCCCAAAGTCCAATATATCATTCTTATGCCTTTGTTTCCTCATAGCTTAATGCCCACTTAAGAGTGAGAATATACGATGTTTGGTTTCCTATTCCTGAGTTACTTCACTTAGAATAATGGTCTCCAATCCTACCCAGGTTGCTGTGAATGCTATTACTTTGTTTCTTTTTACGGCTGAGTAGTATTCCATGGTATAAATATATACCACCTTTTCTTTTTTCCCTTGTTGATTGATGGGCATTATCCTGTAATATATTTTAACAGACATAATCCCTAAGTTTTTATCACTTTTCCCAAACTTCTAGTGATTTATGATTACTCACTTTAATAATTCCCAAAGAGAGAGCTTGTGATTAAAAAATCAAATACTGGATTACAAATTGTGGTTGAAAGAATATTTAGGTACAAATTTAGGACTTGAAAATTGTTTTAGTTTTGTCATTAGCTAAGTTGCATGGTCTTCGAAGACGAATTTCGCTTTTCTAGACTTTGTTTTTATCTGCAAAGGAAGGTTTGAAACAGGTGAACTTCAATTATTCATTTAGTTGTAAATATTCATGATATGTGATTGCTCAAGACTGCAATCAACTGTGAGAGGTGGTAACTCCCAGGGCTTTAGCTAGGGTATATCACAGATACTTCCCTGATTTCTAGTGCCAGACACCAGGTAACTACTCACTCATTTTCCATTCACTCCGGAAAAATGGCAGAACCATATTTCTTAGGGTTTCTTGCAGTTAAATGGTAATGTGACATATATCTACCCTATAAAATGAGAACTGAAGTGGCACTCGCCATTTTCAGGCATAAAACTCTGTCATGTACAATTCCCAATGCTATCTTCTTCTTCACCACCTTCATGCACAGGAGCATGGCAGCCTTGGAAGTGTTGAAGCTGGTGGAACCATAGGATGTAAGGACCCAGGTCTCTGAGTCACTTCCTTAAAAAGAGCCATCCATTGACTAGGAACACCAATTTCTGCACATTCTTTGAACGATAAATAGACCTCCATCACCTTGGAATGAGAAACAGACCTCATTTTTTTTCCGAGCCATTGTATAGTTGAATGGATGCTTGTCATAGCAACTGACATTACCCTGGCTATTGGATTCTACTTCCAAAAAACTGCATGGATTAGGCTTGACTCAATTAAAATGACTTCAAGTCAGTCAGCCAGATAACAAGATATATGGAAATCTACATATTTCACTCACACAATGCTAAATAACTTGTTTGGCAATTTTATCCTTGTTGGAGTTAATGGTTGAACCTGAAAATGGTTGATTTTCTTATTAGTTCCTGGTTTGGTTTCTCTATCTTAATCTTGTGTTTTGAGGCTGTCATGTAACTACCACATAAATTATCTCTGAACATACGTTTTTGTATCAGTTTGTTTTATTAACATATCCCCTTAGTTCACTATTCAGAAAGCTGTCCCTTGGCCTGTGTCTTAGAGACAGCCTGAGATTTGATTTGCATCCTTGCATTTTAGTGCCTTTGCACAGTCAGAGAAGAAATAAAATCAATTCAAGCTTTGGAGGTACAGAACATGCTACCCCAAAATATGCCACTTTGGCATAAGGATTCTTTTGGGCTAAAGACAATTGAGAATATGCTAATACAAGAAAATCTTTCAAACCCTTCCCATATGCCTAAGGCAGGGCATCATTTGTAAAGGTGTCTCCCTTTCTCTCTACCCAGAAGGACAGGAGTTAATCACCGAAAAAACTCTAGCCCCTTATCATCCTGTAGGGTCCACAGAAGTTGACCTAACAAACCTCACTCACTAGCCCTTGCCTTGTAGCCTCATATGTTTACTATCTCCCAGTTTGCTGCTCTGGAAACTAAATGTCCGTTTTCTTTCTCTTGCCATCACTGTAATAATTAATTGTTCTTTTGTTAAGATGCTATAGAAGCCCAAGTTCAAACCACCCAGTAGAGTGACTCATCACTGGGTTTTCTTATGTGTATGTAGGATGTGAGTGTTAGTAAACTCCTGATTGTTTTTGTCTTGTTAATCTATGTTTTATCAGTCTAGTTTGCAGGGTCTCAATCAGTGAACTTAAGATTGGCGTAAGAAAAATACATTTTTTCCTCTGCTACAATGTCTTCGGGAGGAGGCACATTATTCTGCCTACCACATACAGCTACCCTATAAGGCTGAGTGGTTGTTTCTAATTCATGTAGTCATCAATTTATCCACACAATAAATATTCACTAAGCACATGCTCTCTTTCAGGCACTGTGCAGACTCTGGGCTTAGAGAGCTGAGCAAGACAGTGGAGTCCCTCTGGAGACCCAGAGACAAGAGGAAAGCAAAGACCAGCTATGAAAGCACATCCAAAGGCCTGAGCATTCCCAGGGATGATCTGCAGAGGACCTGGACATGGTTGATGCAAATCTTGGTGGACACTATAGGATGTGTTAGGTTCAGGCCCACAGGACAGGATCAGAGTTCACAGCACAAAGACCCTGTTCTCTGCCAGGGTCTGAGCACTTTCAGGGAACACTTCCCAGAGTTTTCCACTCACAGAGCCTGGTGAGTAGCTTTGCTAAACATCAAGAAATCATCCTGGGGATTGAATTAAAAGGTTGGCAAGCCGAGAAGTCTTGGGATCCTCTGGACTAGGATACCCCTTTCAAGAGGGGAGATAAGTTATCAGGCTTTCAGGCTCTTGATAAATGTCTTACAGATGGGTGATTATGAAATGGCTGTGTTGTCACTTTACAGACCTGCGTTCCTGCCGAATGCACACAGACTTGGATCCTCTGAAAGTCTGTTGAGGTTAGCACTACCTCCCGCGTAGATGCTCTTTAACACAGTGTGACTATTGCAGGTCTTGCAGGTCGGCTGCCTCTGGGGAGGGGTAAAATGTGCTTCGTGCCAATCACTAAGTGGTGTTCAGGAGGAAAAGAGCTGGAGGAAAAGCAGAGGAAAGGACAAGTTATGATGGAGAAGCATTTTTCTTGGCAACAGCCCTTCCTTCCTCAGTGTGGCTGGTGCCTCCTCACCTTCTCACCTCCTCACCTTTCACAAAAGATTCTCAGCTCCCTTCTTCCTCTTATCTTTTCTTTTTTTCCCGCCGGCTGTTTAGAGTGAGAAAAATATCTGGAAGAGACAATGCTTTGATAAGAAATGATTAAATTCCACTGTGATTGGGGGCATCACGACCACTGCCGAGTTCCATATCTCAGAACACAATAGCCCAGCAGGGACATCCGCGTGGACTGCGTTGCCTCTGCCCAGCCATGGAGCAAAGGTCTCTCATTTCTCCTCTCACTTCAGACCTGCTGCAGCGCTCACACTGTCCTCCTATAATAATGCCAGAGAGAAAGAAAAGCCCTTCGACTCATGTCCCTGGCTAGGGCTGAGATTTCTAGGAGGAGGTAGGGAGGATCGGGGAAAGATATGAATTCTCTTTAGATAAGTGGCTGATTGAAAAATGTAAAAGGATGCTTCTCGGGTCTGGTACTTATGATATCACCAGCATCCATCTGTGTTTGTTAAGCATCTCTCCAACCACTGGGATGTTTGCAGGTTTATGTCATACTCTTCCAGGAAAATATTTAATACATGGACAAATTAGGAGCCAGTGTTAGAAACAAAAATAGATAAACTGTTAAATAAGGGTTGTGGTTCTCTCAGAAGGTGCTAGTAGGAGACTCTGCTTTTAATGTCTACTTCTATAAACAGATCCTAGTTGCTTTGCTGCTATACAAAAAGCAAACCTTTTATAATCCTGTTTTCAGTTTTTTCAATATTAGTATTCACTATGAAGTCTCATTTACTTTATCATTTACAGAGTGACACTTAATCACAAAATCTAGTCAGAGATTTCAAAGAAAACACGGGGAAAAACCCATCAATATGCTGATATATTAATGGTTTACTAGCTAGTTACTATAAATAAAACTCCAACATACGCTACCAACTATCCCTTTCTCTCACCTCTTGTTCCTCCTTCTTCTTCTTGATTTTCATTTTTGTTCCTGAATAGGCAAGGTTACACACAATTTATTTAAAGGACATTTACTCTCAACCTAACGTCTTCACTACCACCAGCCTGTAAAACACTGGCACCTGGACAACATAATATTTTCATTGCTGAGTCATTTCCTCTGGTAAATTTTATCTAAAAGGATAGAAAACAGCATAAACACCATAACTGGTAAAGGTGTAATTTCCAGATTCTGTGGACAATGTGAATCTACTTTGTTTACATTTTCTAATCAAAACAACCTGTAACCTCCAACAAAAGCATTGTGTTTAACAGGAGTTCTCAAATTCTTTAGGAGAAAGTACAGTGCAAACAAAGGGAATCTGGATTCTTTTAAATACAAAGCTGTCCATCACAGGGAAAGGTGCTTGAACCTGGAAAGTATATTTCAAATATAACACGAGTGACTGATTTAGAACTGAAAATGCATTTTCTGTGATTAGAATGGATGTATTATTTGAAGTATAAGCCCAGCTCTTGTGGACGAAACATAGCAGCACAGAACACAACCTGCCTGGGGACTGAGTCAGCTTTGCCGGGAGCATAAAACATTTAATGGCCCATAAAACTGACCTCAGCTTTTCTTTCTTTCACCAGAAATACAGGTGGAAATGAGCAGCTCTATGTTATGACAAATCAGTCGACGAGTATCTATTCTCCACCTCCTTGGTGTCTGGCGCTGTGTGAGGCACAGGCAGCGTAAGGGTGAATAAGGTACAAAGAACCCTGCTGTCACTGAGCTGTTAGCTGAGAAGGTAGAGAGGACATGAAGCCAATCATTACAAGGCATCCCAAAAGATAAATGAACAAGTGGCATGGAGTTGTGGCCACGCTTGTGGAGTATGAGCTCAGGCTATTCCCCTTCAAATACTGATTCAAGACGACAGGAGATGATCTTGAGCAGGATGCAGAAGTTTCTGAGCCTGAATTTCCCTAATTGTAAAATGGGAGAATTTCTAGTAGCTCCCTGAAAGCACTGAATGAGAAGTAAATGTATTAATACTTGTAAATTGTGCCCACAGTATGCCAGGCAGCTGATAGAATTCATATGCCTTAGTAAAGGTGATTTTTACAATATTTGTTCCTGTTTTGTACGCTTTACATTTAAGTCCCTGTTATGAATTGTACACTATCCAAGCAAAATGCATTTTTAAATTCTCACCAACATGCATACTTTCTCTGTCTAATGAAGTAATTTGTAAGATAATAGCGCTGTCTTTGTGTCCTATTACATTCTTATTCCAACTCTTTCATGATACAGGATGGAAAACAAAATAAAATGAAATCGTTTATTACCTCCACTTTCCAAGCAAGAACTGAACGTCAGGAAGAGCCCATCTCTTGGGTTACAATCCAACCCTTTTCTCAAGATGTTTTTCAGGGAACCCAAATTAAAACAGCAACTTTTTTCTCTTTTTTGTTAATGATTCATATTACACATTTATTCAAGGAACAAGAAGCAAAAATTCAAGGAATACCAGGTGGCATTCTATTTAAGTGAGTCAGCAATTATAACTAATATTTATTGGGAGTTTACTCAACGTCATTCACAATTCTTAAGAACCTTAAATGATTCCTTCTCTGATAAGGGCTACAAAGAAGTCAGATTCTGTATGTGTGTTGTGGCTTCTGACTATCTCAGTTCAGCTCTCAGTACATTCATCTGGGGAAAGTTTCCCAACAACCATTGAGGAAGATTTCATTACTATCCTCATTTTAGTGACCAGGCCATTGAAATGAAGTGAGGTCAGCACTATACTCCCCGTAACTGAGAGAGACCTCAAATCTAGGTTTTCAATTCCTATACCCTACAAACGTTTGAAGTATCAACTCTATGAACGTGGATCATGAAGAATTAAGTCCATTTTATTAACTTGACTTATATTTCACAATCGAAAAAGTGGCCACAGTTATTTTGGTGACTTTCTGTGTATCTGTGTGTGAGATGCCAAGTTCACCAAACACTAGAACTGCCTTAAACACTAACAGGAAGGCCAAAATAATTTGCCTCTCTTACTCTAGTTCACAAATTTTACCAAGCTAACCACTTAGTAAAAACAAGTTTCTAGTCTTTATTTTGATGTAGCTCTTTGAGTATGGGTTGGCTACATATTTGAGGACATGCAATTTTCTTTTTCATTGAATTAGACTGTCAATTCCAGTAAACTTTGCTTTGGGGATAAGAGGAGAGGTTAAATTCCATGTAAAGGAAATTAGATGGAACTGAGGAAACCCTTTAACTTGGAAACAGAAGAAACACTGCTACTACAATGAAAAAATAAACCATAGCTGAAAATGTATGCATGAAGGGATTATGAGTAAATCATATACATCTGTGTTTAACCAGAAGGAAAAAAGGTCAGCCTTGTACCATGTGTTCAAACCAACCATTTGTGGAAATTTCATTATTTTAATTTATTTTCAGTATTGGCTAAATGTGACAATGCATTTTATTTTGGGCTGTGTCTGAAAACACAAATTGGTTCAACTATATTTGTCTCAAAAATTGGCCGATTCCCCTCTGCATATCATCTTTTGGGCTCAAAATTATTGGAGGGAAATATGCAGTACATTATTCTCTTTCTTCAGTGACTCAACACTCTTCCATCCAGCAATAACCCTCATGGACTCTACTCTCACTTCTCATTGCCTTTATCTTGTTGGCTCAAAATACATATTTACATGGACTCTATTCATTCTCTAATTCATTAGATGTTGGCATTGCTTTCACAGAATTTGTTATTTTGTGGAGTACTTGGGCTTGGTATCCACCCTTGTTCTTGGGTCAGTGGATCCTCGACCATCTCTTTCATGGGCCACCATAATTAGTGATTGAGAAGCAAGGATTTGGACATTTTTTAATGATAAGTGGTTGGTCACTGGAGTTAACAAAAGTTGGGAAAAAGTTGAACAATCTTTTAGGTACATCAAAGCATTTACTGAAAACCAGCAATTCACATTTTTATGATGAAAGAAGAAACATGATTTTAGAAGTTGATGCACATAAAGGTGGAAGCTCTTGGCGTCACGGGAACTTTACAACGTTGGATTTTGGATAGAAAGTAGACATCAAGCTCAAGTAGAAAAGTAGACTTTTAAAGAAGAGGAAAACAGGCTGGGCATGGTGGCTCATGCCTGTAATCCAAGAACTTTGGGAGGCTGAGGTGGATGGATCACTTGAGGTCAGGAGTTTGAGACCAGCTTGGCCAACATGGTGAAAGCCCGTCTCTACTAAAGATACAAAAATTAGCTGGGCATGGTGGCAGGCGCCTGTAGTCCCAGCTACTCAGGAAGCTGAAGCAGGAGAATCACTTGAACTTGGGAAGCAGAGGTTGCAGAGAGCAGAGACTGTGCCACTTCACTCCAGCCTGGGTGACAGAGTGAGACTTCATCTCAAAAAAAAAAAAAAAAAAAAAGAAGTAGGAAAACATAGCTAGCAAGGACTAAAGAGGCTCAGTAGGGTATAACAGAAAATTTCCTGGATCTCACCGCCTGCCCTGGGGCTGTTTTTCCACCCATTTATTTCTAGATACTAATATGGACAACAATTTAGTGACCCCCCAAACTTAGCTGACTTATTAGCCTTCTTTATCCTAAAAGTGCAAGATATGAGCAAGGTATCTAGTATTCTACAGTATCCTATAGCATTGTGGGATAACTATAGTTAACAATAATATATTATATAGCTTCAGATCACTAGAAGGAGGATGCTAAATATTCCCAACACAGAGAAATGATAAATGTTTGAGATGATAGGCTGATTACTCTGATCACTATACATTGTATGTACGGAAACCTCACTATGTACCCCGTAAATATAGACAGTTTTGTGGTAACTAGAAAAATAAAATAAAAAGAAGGAAGAGATAAACTAGCAAAGACAAGTGGAGGCAAAGCCACACCGAGCCTGTGGCCCTCTCCAGGCAGCACATCCTCCCATGAAGAGCAGGCACCTGCCCTGCCTGCTTCAGGGCTGTGCATGTTTCCCACACACCACTTTCTTCTTCCCAGCACCATATTCTCACTTAAGACTTAATCTGATATATAAGCTAAGCTTTCACCAGTTCTGAGACATGTTTCTTAGTGTGGTTTCATGCTCAAAAAATTTGAAGGAGAAATTGTAAGGGCCAACTTGGCCAAAGGCAAGAAATAACATCTCAAGGTGATGAAAGGAGATATTTACTTAGAAAGCTATCCATTTCTTAATAAGTAAGATTTCATCACTTTCCAAAATGCATGGGTCTCAGGATTTTAAAAAAATACACTCCACTTTTTTTTGTATTTTCAGGCATGGGAACTAGTGTATTATTTTATATATCACTATACTGTAATACAGTTGTGAAAATATAGCTTGTTGAATGAGGAAAACAGGTAATTTTCTAAATTCAGTCTTTTTAGGATTTGGTGGTTGTACACCCTGACTTTCATATGCTGCATATATAATAATTAAAATATGTAATGATATATTAATTCTGTTCTAGCTTATCTTAATAAAGGTTTTGGGCATCCTAGTATTGCATGAATAATTAAATATAAAATAATCCTTTGTATCTGTAGAGTAGTTAACTCACTAGTTCTTACTGCCTCTGACATGCATATATAATTGCATAAAATGACGCACACCCAAATATTCCATTATTGTTAGGGTAATCAACAGATTTTGCTAACCAATTATGCTAATGTGAATGAAATAAGAGTGTAATAACATAAAACTTTTTAGAATTTCATTAGTCATTAGGGACATAGTAGAGATAAGCAAATCATTAACATTTCAGCTATTTTAGTAGTTTTAATAACTATAGCTTCTAATTTAGTTATAAATGCATATGCAGCCTCCAAGTCCAGCAGTGTGGACATATTGATAAGGGGAAAACCAGCTTGCGAGAAATATGAAATTAGGGACAAATGTAGGAGAACACATTTAACTTATTTAAAATCATATGGAATGTATCCATAGAAGGTAACACTGAAGCCCATCTCAGCCTGAACTCTGAGCAAAAATAGAAATGAAAGTTGATAGAATTTGAAACCGTAAGTGTGCACCTGGAATATATTTTGAGAACTTGTATTTGCGCTACTTACGTGATCCAGGAACCAGCAAGCTAAGCCATGAACTAAGGAATTATTCCCAGGCCAATTACTTGTCAGAGGCTCTTGGCAAAAGTAAACAAAAACCCTCCATGGGGTGCGATCACAAGCCAGGCCACAAGGGATCTTCCAAACAAGAGCCTCACACTCACGAATTACACAACCCAACATTCACAAGAGCTGGCATGTACCATGAAAATTAATCCTCAGACCAACAATTTGAGATAATAAAATGGCAATCTGAAAAAGTATTTTTTTAAAAAAAAATTAAGATGTTTCCAGGGATAAATATAATCAAACCCCTAAGAAAACAATAAGGCATGTTGAAAAAGTGAATAAATGAAACCCAGTGGAACTTAAAGAAATAAAAAATATAATCTTTACTATAAAATTAGTGGATGGATTTAACAGCAAGTATAAACACAATGAAATTTAAAAAACAGATTAGAAGAAGATATCCAGGGAAAACAGCACAGAATTGCACCACACGTACACATACACACACACACACACACACACACACACACACACTCCAAAAAAAAAAAAAAACCTAGGAGCTCACAAGTAGAAGAGTTGATGTGCAGTTGGGATACAGTGAAAATATTCAACTTATAAATCAGTGGGAGTTCTGGAAAACTAAATGGAGAGAATGCAATAAAAAAAAATTTGAAGCGCTAATTACTGAATTTCCAGAACCGAAGAGATTTGAGCATCTTCATCTCCATGACTCTTAATAAGTCATCATAGGAACAAACATCAAGTCCAAAGGGAATTTATTCATGGCAAGTAAAATGATAAAGAAAATAACATATTACCCAGAGAAGGACAATTACTAGTCTAAAAATACATTTCTTAACAGAAGAAATAAAAAAAGTGGTAATATTTTAGAAGCAACATAATTCTAAATAATTTGTTGACCAAATGGTATAGCGCAACAATAATTAAATAATATTACAAAGCTATGTAAATACTACATTCAAAAACTCTTGTGTATTCTAATAAAATTTGGTTTTGGATAAAAAAGATTGGCATAAATGCATATATTAGAAAGTAGGAATAAAAATTATTAAACCAAATTCTCCCAAAAATAGTTTTAAAATTACTATTAGCCCCTAAACCCAGAAAGTTTAACATATGAAAAAAAAGTAATGAAATAGGAAACATCAATAGAGAGATTAAAAAATAGAGATTTTTCTTTATAGGGCTAAATAAAAATGGACAAACCCTTGAAAAGTTTAAGGAATAAAATCCCAGTAGTTCCAGCTACTTGGGAATAGCTTGAACCTGGAAGGCGGAGATTGCAGTGAGCCAAGATGGCGCCACGGCACTCCAACCTGGCGAACCTGGGAACCTGCCTGGCATGATGGGAACCTGCCTGGGATGAATACTGAAGTGTGTGTTGGGGTTGAAAGAGCCACTGTTCACCAGTGGTCAGAGAAAACTGACTCTTCATGGCAAATATGCTCTCTACTCCACAATGCAGAGAAAAATAAAATCTATGTAGATTGAAGGTTTCAATATAAACATAATTCTAATGATTTTGAGGTAAAAGTAGGAAAACATCTTTGTGACATTTAGGGAAGAAGAATTGTTTTTTTCAGGCAAATCTTAAAAAGCAAATTCTATGGAGAAAACAAATTCGATAAATTTGATTTCTTTATAAATCAAAACTTCTCCATGAAACTATAGGTATAACAGAACAATTGAGTAAAATAAATCACATACTAGGAAAAGATGCCTATAGTTTATGTAAGCAAGAAAACGTTATTATGCAGAATGTATTGAACTTCCACAAATATACAGGGGACAAAACTATCGATGAACAGGTAAATAGATGAAAAAGAAATTCACAAAATAAAATATGAAATTTCTAGTAAACTCATAAAAGACGGTCAGCTTCATTAGCAATCAGAGAAGTACAAATGCTCCCATAAAGAAAAACAATTTAGTACCCAACATACAGGCACAGATGAATAAGTCTGATAACAACACTTTGGCATAAATAGAGAAAATAGGGTTGTATATTATTTGAGGGAGTGTAAATTGGTATAATAACTTTGGACAGAAATTTAGCAATACCTAGCTAAAGCTGAAATGCATATATTCTAAATCAGTCATTCTTCAGGCTAATTAACTTGAGGATAAGCTCATTCATGTTCACAGATTTACGTGTACAAATTTTTTTTTTTGTAGCAGTGTTTGAAGTAGTGGAAAAGTGGAAAAACATAACTGTCACTTAGAATGTGAATACATAATTACCTGGTTTATTTAACTGTCACTTGGTGAATACATAATTACCTGGTTTATTCTTATAGCGGTATATCATACAGCAGCTAAAATGAGTGAACTGAGTCGATATTTATATATCTAAGTCTCAGAAATGTGAAGTTTAGTGAGGAAAACAAAGCTGCAAAATAGTATAACAGGATAACACAATGTATAGAAATGTTTTGAAGCTGCATTGTGTATTAGCTATGGATGCTTATTTGTGTTTTAGAAGTATAGAAACAAATAGAGTAGGGGTAAAAATATAATTCAAAATGATGGTTATTTGGGGTATTATGAGGAATGAAAAGATCAAGTGAAGCTTTAATTGTATATTTTCAGGTTTATTTGTTAAAAGACGTAAAGACAGAGAAACACAGATGGACAGAAAGAGGCTGTTTTCACACACATGAGAGAAATGACACAAACTGTTGGCAAGTGTTCAATCTTAGTGGGTGACACATAAGCATGTATGATATTATTTTCTGCATTTTTGGCATGGTTAGAATGCTTCAGCAATCGTAAAAAAAATGAAAGTTTTATATCCATATAGTCTAGAATAACAGAAGTACATTAGATAAAGCATAAGCTTGTACGTGCATGCAGTGGAGAAACACATGCAATAGAATATATACTCTGGTGCTGATTATTGATATTAATGTTATTATTAATATATACTCTGGTGCTATTATCTAATATAATCGAGAACACAGTTTCTAGATTATTTTGATGTAAATTTAATGTAAAATCATAATCTACTGTGATAATAATTGCAAAGATCTTTGAGTGTTCATGTAGTAATTTCAACACATGCAATAGCTACTGTCATTTCTATTTTGTGCCGGAGAAATTTTTTTGAAAAGTGGATAAGGAAATATGAAATCCAGATGTGCGTAATGAATATATTGTTTCACACAATAACTATGGTCTGCAAAAATCATATTTAGGAGAATTTAACAAAAATGTCACTGGATGTTATTGAAATGTGCTGAATTTATTTTAAGTTCATTGAAAGATTCAAAGAAAGTACATACTTAAATATTGAGTATATAATTGTGCATTATGTATATGTATAAATGAGAAAAAGAAAGGCAGGAAGGGAGGGAAAAAGAAATGTATTTGAAAAAGAAAGGTGAATATAATGAATTGTATTTTAAAAAGATCTCTTCTAAGATATCACGCTGTTGGCAGGTAGTAAGAACAGTCTTCAGTCTTCTCAACAATGTTGAGAGACCGTGAATTTCAAGAGGTAGAAGGCACTGAGGCCAAGATCTGCTGATGAAAGTATCATCAGTCACCCAACAGCACGGGAGAGGCCAGGGTAGGAGACATGGCCTAGGGTTTATGTCCAAGGGCAGTGAGTTCAGTGCCACCCCGCCACCATCCCCTGTAGCAATTACATATGAGACACCTGAAAAGTGACATCTTGAGTGGATAAACAACAGGGGAAATGAAAATGGAGACTTTTGGGAGGCTTGCTTCTCTTAGTCTTGGCTCTGAGTGGCACAGAGGAAAAGCCCATGACCTCAAGCTGGGATTCAGTTGCGGGAGGAGTTAGAATTCACATCATGTGTGTGGATAAATGGAAAATGCAAGGCAATATAGTTCTGGTTTAGAACTGTGTATAGCATAGACACCTCGAAACAGCAGTCACAAATTCAATCCTGATGGAAGGACCTCCAAGCTACATGAAGAGATGCAAAGTATCAGTCATCCAAAAACTGAGAATATTTTAAATTTGTGATATAAATATACCAAAGGCACATCAGAAGGTACGAAAGTGTGGATGTTAAAAATGTGGGCAAGGCCAGGCGAGGGGGCTCATGCCTGTAATCCCAGTACTTTGGGAGGTCGAGGCAGGCAGATCGCTTGAGGTCAGGAGTTCAAGACCAGCCTGGCCACATGGTGAAACCTCGTCTCTACTAAAAATTTGAAAAAAATTAGCCGGGTGTGATGGCACATGCCTATAATCTCAGTTAATCAGGGGGCTGAGGTAGGAGAAACGCTTGAACCTGGGAGGCGGAGGTTGCAGTGAGCTGAGATCAGGCCATTGCACTCTAGCCTGGGTGACAGAGAGAGACTCTGTCTCAAAAAACAAAAATAAATAAATACATAAATACATAAATGCTAAAAAATAAAAATGTGGGCAAAGAGTAAGATGCTACTAAAATGACAGACTTGAAAAAGAAGTTAGAAAAATTTTACAAATAGGAAATCACTGAGTTTAAAAAGAGACTGTATCAATTCACTTTAAAACCAGGTGTATGTATAAATTTAAGCAACGTTAGTGAACTGGTGACTATATCTGAAAAAAAACTTCCCAGAGTGTAGACCATAAAAACGAAGAGGCAGAAATTATAAAAACAAGATGCAGAGTCATGCATGATAGACTGAGAATATTTAACATACGTCAAATTGGACATCAAAAGGAGGGAATCAAGAGCATGAGGAAGCTGCGAGATTCAAAGACACCACTGCAAAACATTTTTGAAATGCAAATTCAGTGAGCCTGATGAACTATCTATAAAACCTCATAGTGAGACCAGCCAGCACCAAAGCCTATGATGGCATGCAACATTGCAGAATATTCTAAAGACCAGTTGCCCGCAGAGGACTGGCAATGAGCCACGTAGAAGACCCCTCATCAATGACAGCCAAGGCCAGTATGCAGTGGAATCGTCCCTTCAAAATGCTAAAAAACGAAAACCATTAACTTAGAGTTTTATATTCAAGACTGAACAAAATAAATGCATTGTCCTTCAAACACAAACTCAGTTTCCTACCAACACACCCTCACTAAAGAATATTTTAGAGAATACACTTTGGGAAAAAGCAAAATTATTCCAAATATGAATGCAGGGAGAAGTTAAGAATGTATGTAAATCATTAAAAATGCATTGCTAGTATAACAGCAATACAATGATGTCTAATTTATGATGTTACAATGATAAAACCAAACTAGTTGAAAATATATAGCTTGAAAACAGTGATCACAGTTAAAGTAACTTAAGGTTCTCGTCTTATTCGAGAGTGTGGTAATAATTGTGCTTAGGTTTGGATTTCATTAAGTAAAATGACACGTTAAAATTTCTGTGGTGCCCTTACACAAATAGAATTTATAACTTTTAAAATATTAGAGGAAAAAATGGAACCAGGTTGAGAAAGGAACTCAACCGATTCATATAATGGCTGGATAAAGAAAAGCAAAATGTAGAAAAAGCTGTCAGGAGATGGCAGAAATACATCTAAACATACAGTAACCACAATAAAGAGGAAAGAATGGACTCATTCAGTTAAAAACAAAGATTATCAAGCTGGATTAAAAATTTCCAGCCATATGCTCTTTAACAATAGACACATCTAAAATAAATTAGAAAAAACTGCATCTTGCAGAACACAAAAACAATGTAGTTAGGAAGTAATAAGAATAAAATAAGCAAACAATTGGACATTAAAAATTGTTCTTACAAAATGCTATCTCAAGAAAAAAATAAAAGCATGGATAATCCAGGATCATTAAAAAATTATCTCAGTCATTCACAATATTTGCACTAAAAAAAAAAATCTCAGGGAGTTTTGCAAAGTCTACCCAACATATAGTAAATATAATTTCTCTTACAGAACTCTTTCGAGAAGATGTAAAGAAAGAAAATATTTTAAAAATATTTTATAGACAAATTTTGCTTTGCTATCACAAACAGAAGAAATAAATATAAGGAAGGGAAATGGATGTCTAATCTCACAAATGTATCAAAAACGATGCAGGATCACTCCAGCAAGTTTTTTGGTGTAAAAATGATCAATGTAATTTACAATGTCCATAAACTGACAAAAATAAGTGAAATGATCATCTTATTAATGCAGAAAAATATCGGATAGAATTGAACACATGTTAAAAATATTTACAAATTGAGAATGGAAGAGAGCTTCTTTAATCCAATGAATACTGTTTACAAAACAAAATTTATAGCAATCCTCATGCTTGATGGTGAAAATGTAAATGTTTCCTTTAAATCAGGAGCAAGACAAGGGTGTTTGCTTTTCTATGCAACATTTTCCTGGATGTCTTAACTAGTATAAGATTGTTATAAGAAATCAAAATTATAAGGTTTAAAAAGGAAAATACAAATAGATCATTACTTGTGGATAAAATGATAGTTTTATCCTAAAATGAAAACATAGAATTAGAATTAGTAAATCACAGACAGTGTTTTAAGTCATAGAAATGAAAAATTAACAGTGTTGGCAACAAAAAATACAAAATAAAAATTTTAAGAATATATTTTTAGTAAAGTCTAAATATATTAAATATTTAAAAGTAAATTATTTTTAAAAAGTGTGAGGTATTTATGGAGGATACTATAAAATTATTTTAAACAAAAAATAATCCTTGAAAATACCCAGTCTATGGATAAGTTTGTCCTGGACTTATATAAATTTAATTCTGTATAAACTTCAGTTATTTCCAAATTGTCCCATAAAGTCAATGTAATTTCGACTAAAATTCTAGCTGTTTAAAAATGAATTTTATGATCTGTTTATCAATTTGTGCGGGAAACAAAGGTGAAAGTAGCCTTGAAGAAGAATCAGGTTGGGGTATCGGAGGGGGTACTTCATCAAATCAGGTATGGAGAATTGTAAGAAAGCTGTCAATATTAGAAAAATGAAAGGATGAAAGGATAGAAAAATACACCATTATAAAAAACAGAGAGGCCAGAAATAGACCAATGCATAAAGGGAGGCCTGGGCCTGTTGGCCGTGAAGATCACCAGGCAAACATGAGCTACTCAACCATAGCTGGTGATTGCTTACCTGAATGTGGAGAGTATTAGACATCTATTTTACACCTTGCCAAAAAAATCAATTCTAGATATACTAAAGACATGACTATGAAGAACACGTTTTTACACTTTTGGAAAACAAAAACAGAACAAGCTAGTAGAAAAGGATGCAGAAAGCCAGAAGAGAAATTTTATAGAAAAACAAAAATGGGTTAAAAAACCCATGGACCTCTTACTAAGAGTCTTGGGATAATTAATAGTCAATGAAATTCAAATATAATGCCCCCAAAATACAATAATATTACAAGCTCTAGCTTGGGACTTAAAAAAAATCAAGCAATACCAAGTCTTCCTCACTGGTGGCTATTGTTGTTTAGTTTTTTATGGAGAAGGGGTCTATGTTGCTCAAGCTGGTCTCAAACTCCTGGACTTAAGCAAACCTCCCACCTTGGTCTCCCAAAGTGCTGGGATTACAGGCATGAGCCACCATGCCCAGCCTCTAATATATTTTGAGGATGAGAACTTAGGCCAATTTTAAGCAACAAAGACCAATTAGGAAAACAGCCTGTACATGTATAAATGGCAGAGGGCTGCATACCTAAAAAATGTGTATTGTGTGTCTGTGTGCCCTAACTCGGAAACTCATCCTACAGTCTCCTGCTAAATCCTCTGCTCATTCAGATATCTCGTTAACAAGATGGGCATGTGTATTATTATACCATGGGCTCTGTGTCATCCAGACATCTTAAAGGGAGCTGCATGTGAACATCTTCAGCTCTTTGCCGGAAATACATCAAATACGGATTATAAACTCGTCACCCACTGGGGCAAGGCTAGCTCTCCCTGCAGCTTTCAGAAGGCACTGAGGCTTTATGGATCATATTAATCCACAGAATTAGAGATGAATTAGAAACCATAATAAATTATGATGTAAAAAATAAATCACTTTTAAAATAAAATTTAACAATTTCTGTGTGTGTGTGTGTTTTCAACCTCCTCCATGTACCTCAAACCACCTTAATCTTATCCCTAATGAGAGTTACATTTTGATGTCATATGGAGAACAGACCTTCGAGGTTAAAGGTCTAAAATAGATGTCTAATACTCTCCACGTTCAGGTAAGCAATCACCAACTATTGTTTGAGGTTACACTGCCTGGGCTTTTCAGAACTAGTGCGGTCTTTTGAAAATAAAACAAACTGAATGCAGTTTTAGCTATGCAATACGAAGTGGATAAAATCTTTAATAATTTGGGAACAAGATTATTCTAGAAACTTACTGAAAATATTTTACAAGTTCAATTTTTAAACTTGTGCATGATAGGTTACTCAGATGCAAGAAAGATTCACAAACTGTGAATAAAGAGAACACTATTTCATGTACTGCTATTTAATAACAGCATGAATATTTTTATATAACTTGTGCTTTTTTAAAAAATAGACTTTATTTTTAGAGAAGTTTGAGGTTCATGGCAAAATTGAGCAGAAGGTAAAGAGAGTTTTTCTATGCCCCTTGACCCTGAATACATATATAACCTCTTCCACTATCAAAATCCTGAACCAGAGTAGTACATTTGTTGCAATCAGTGACTTTACATTGACCTGCCATTGCCGCCCAAGGACTATGGCTTACATGAGGGTGCACTGTTGGTGTTATACATTCTATGGGTTTTAACAAATGTATAATGACTTTTTACCATCATTGCAGTACCATACAGAGTATTTTTCACTGCCCTAAAACTCCTCTGTGGCTCTCCTATTCATGCTTTTCTTCCCCCAACCCTTTGAACCACTTACGTTTTACTGTCTTCAAGTTTTGCCTTCCCCAGAATGTCATATAGTCAGAATCATAAATTATGTAGCCTTTCCAGTTGAGCTTTTTCTGTCACTTAGTCATATGCATTTAAGTCTTCTCCATGTATTTTCATGGTTTGATAGCTAATTTATATTTAGTGCTAAATACTATTCTATTGTCTGGATGTAGCAAGGTTTATTCGCCTACTGAAGAACAGCTGGGTGTTTCCAAGTTCTAGCAATTACGAAAAAAAAAACTGCTATAAGCATTCATGTTCAAGGTTTTGTGGGAACTTAAGTTTTTAACTTATTTGGGTAAATACCAAGGAGTGCAATTGCTGGATCATATACTAAGAGTATGTTTAGTTTTGTAAGAAACTGCCAAACTGTCTTCCACAGTGACTGCAACATTTTGCATTCCCACCTGCAATGGATGAGTTCCTGTTGCTCCACATCCTCACCAGCATTTGGTGTTGTCAGTGTTCCGGACTTTGCCATTTTAATAGGTGTGTAGTGGTATCTCATAGTTGTTTTGATTTGTAGTTTCCTAGTTACGTATAATGGTAGTATATTTTCATGATTTTATCTGCCATCTGTATATTTTGATGAGGTAGCTGTTACTACTTTCTTAACCACTAATGATGCTGAAACATTCATGTTTCCTTTCTACAAGCAATAATTCTTTACCACTTTACTGAAAGTCATGGATACAAGTTAAAAAAAAAACCTAGTCCTCCACTCTAATAAACTATGTGCTAAAATTACAAAATTAATTGTGACTCTTAAAATGTTTATTTGATTCTCAAACTATCCCACCCAAAATGTGTCTACAAAGACAAGCATCTTCACACAATGACATCTTCTTTACTTGACATTTTAATACTCATGGCACTGATGGTGAAATGTAGGTTATAATTTAACATCAATTTGACCATTCAAGAAAGAGATTCGTTACCATTCTCTAAAGCAAGGTGCCCAATCACTTTCAAACTTTTCTTTGTTTTTCAATCTAAATATTTCTTAACTCCACCATCCTCCTTCATTTCTACTGCCTTTGTCTTAATTAGACTTGGCTATATATTTTTCTAGAATGCTTCACTCCCTCCAAGGATATACATTCTAATATGAAATATTCATCATAATTGGGCTTATAGTCTCCTACCCAAGCATTGACAGCCAACTTTTATTTTAAGAATAGGTAATTTTTTCTGTATGTTTCAGATACAGCTTTGTCTTATTTAGCATCTATTCACGCTCTGACCAATCAATGGGCTTCTGTTTTATTCTAGACATCCATCCCCCATCTTGTATTCCATTTGACACTGTCTGGTTCCCTGAATGAAAGTCCTTATGTCAGAAACTTGGCTAAAACTGCAGGAACCATAGGACTATGGCTCTGTATCAATTTTGTCAGTTCTCCCTTTCAGAAAGAAGAGTCCTACAAATTATTGCTGATGTGCACTAATGGTAAGAGCTCAGAGAAAGACATCCCAGACACTAAGTTCCATTCTCCTTGCTCCAATTAGTCCGAAGCTTGCCCAGACCACCATTCATCATTTAGTCCACTCTCCAGAAAAATATTCCTCACGGAATGCTGCATTCATCCTTTTGCCAGCGCTAACATGGAGCCTGTTCCAAGGATCCCGGTGCCCTTTCAGGGAGCAAGTGCACTTTCTGCTGCTGATGGACATTCACTCCTCAGGAGAACTGCAGTGCTACCCCAAGATATTACAGGGCCGTTGACAGAAATGCAAATAATCCAAGGAAAAGCTGTTTTGGAACAGAAGGTGACTCATTCAGTACTAGGCATTTTGGGTTTGATATATCATGAATATTTCATCTTAACACCTATGAAAATATACCGTTATCCAAGTGTCCAAGAACTCAAAAATCTTTTTACGTGATAACATCATGTGCCTGAGAGAAACTGAAATAATTCTGTTTATTTTTCTGTGTCAGTTTCCTTGGCGGTTGCATTTGTGGGAGCATACAGAATATGTTTTCCCCACCTTAAAATATTTATTTTAAGTTTTGCAAATTTCAGAACTGTCTGATTCAGTTAGATAATCTAAGCCGGAGAGTAACTGAGCAATAAATACTACAGTTTACTAGCTTATGCTGTGGTTCTACTCATCAGAAATGGTGCTGGTGATTAACTTTAAAGCATTCAGTGGTCTGAGACCTGGCTACCTTAAACAAAATATCTAGATGAATGATTTCAGTTTTTCTTTTATTTCATACAAAAATATTGCATTTGGTTGAGCTAATAAATATTAAACAATTGATTTTTTAAAAAATATATTATTTATAAAATCGCCAGGATACAAAATAATGGATTGCACTTCCAGTGTTTCCTCTTTCTGCCCTCTATCCGCTGCCAACAAAAGAGAAGTGGGTAAGTGACTGGGTTAAAACAATTCAAAGAGTTTTCACAAAAAGCACAGTGAGCAATAACTAGAGGTAAAAGATTATTACCGTCAGGAATCTTCTGGAATAGAGTAGTGGTTTTTTAATCCCCCCAGATGAGTGAAAAAGTAGATCTGGCCTCTTCTCTGAGTCAAGTGAATATCAAAGGGAAGGCAGGCAACTGGAACTAATTCTGCAACACTCAGAGTTGGGAACAGAATCTGAGATCAAGTTCACTCAGTCATAACTCTGCAGAGGGGATGAAATGAAATACAACTCAAAGGTAGCCAGGTCCCAGACCACTGAAGGCTTTAAAGTTAATTACCAGCACCTTTTATGATGAGTAGAACCACAGCATAAGCTACTAAACTGTAGTATTTATTGCTCAGTTACTCTCCTGCATAGATTATGTAATTGAATAAGACTGTTTTGAAATTTGCAAGCTAATAAAAATGTATATTTATATCTACACCTTTGCCCAGAAGAAAGATTTGAAGAAATATATCCCTGCAGATTAGAGTCAATTTTTCTATATCTATCTTTGTATTCTCTTCAATATGTAAGAGCTATTTAGCAAGAGAGAAAATGTGTTATATGTGAATAAAAACAAAACCACACAAAAGAAACAAAAAGGAGAAATCTCTAAGATAGCAAAAAATAAACATCGAAAGAAGGAAGTTAAAACATTAGCAATACAATGTTGCCTGCATAATATAAATGATATAAATATAATTTTTAATATAGTATATTGAAGATGAAATTTTAGTTGCTGGCAAGTTTTACAGGAAGAAATACTTAAAATTTGCATGACAGAATACTAATTCTAGTCTCAAATCATTAATGCTCCCACAGCACTAGAGTTAAAAAGAAAACAAAATGAACCAAAAAATAATTAAAAATGTTTTTCTTGAAGGAGCTTATATTTTTATAACCTTATATACTTTATGATATGAATCCTGAAATTCTAATTTGAGTACAGTGTTGTCATTATTTTGAAAGCTGTTTGGTAAGTAAAGCTCCTCTCACCCCCAAATCATGGTAATTGTTTTGATAAAATCAATTTTTTCACAGAATACACACATTATTTTTAATACACACACACACGCTCACACACACAAACTGTGGTATTAAATGCAACTTTAGAATTTTGGAATATGTTATCGTTTTATGCAGGTTTTGTGAACCTTTCCTAGAGGCTGTTCTTGTTTTTGCAGAAAGTCAATCTTGTAGTGATTATAACTGCAGGTCAGAACTAGGATTTCATGGGGATAATGTAACGTTAACTGTACGGCATAAGGTACACAATTCTGCATTCAATATGTTGTTATTTTATGTTACTACCAAACTGACTAAGATTAAAAGGACACACAGTAACCAATGTCAGTGAGCACAAGAAACAATTGGAGAGCCCATAAATTAGCAGCATCAACTAGAAGCCAACATATGCACACCGTCATCTTCAGTAATCTCATCTCCAGGTATGTACCCTGTAGACGTGCGTGCCTATGACTGCCAAAATACATAACATTTAAAGCAGCACTGTTCATAATAGTCCCACAGTAGAAATAATCTAAATATCCATGACCAGTAGAAGAATAAATAAACTGCTGTGAAATATACCACAGTGGGGGACAAGAACAGACTGCTGTTACGTGCAACTGAATGAGCCTCACTAACTTAATCTTGGGATAATACAGCCAGACACAAAAGCACACATTTCAGTTATTTGAAATTCCAAAACAGGAAGCTCTTCTATTGTCTTGAGGTCAGAAAAGCAGTCACCTGAGTTGAGGGTCTTCATTAGCTGGGAGGTGGTATGAGGAAGGCTGGAGGTGTCTTGTGTCATGATGTGGGTCACAGATTAAATGTCCACAAAAGTTCATCAAGTGTGACTTTATGATTCATGTCCTACATGTAGGTGTACCTCAGTTAAATGCATACATATATGAATAAAATCAATGCTTCAAGGAACTAAAGCACAATAAAAGTAGAGGTTAGTTTTGTGTGATAGAACTGTGATTGGGTTTTATTTCCTTCTCCGCACTTTTTTTCCTCTCTACATTTAATTGAATGCACACTTTTATAAGAAAAAAAGTCAATATTTATATAACACATAAGTAACTATAATGACAGAAATAAAGGCAAGGATAACACTTACATTTTATATATGTTATAAAATTGATTGGTCCAGTTCAAAGTTTAGTCAATTTTGCTCATTTTGTACTTACTGTTCTTAGGTTTTATTTTATAAGAAGTGTGTTCAAAATGAGTGGCTTACTATTTAGTCCGTAGGATAAAATCGTTTTTTTCTAGTGCAATATGTTATCCTTTTGTTAGGGGTGTTTTCTATTCAGAACGCATTCATAAAGACTGTCCAAAGATTTAACTCTTGTGGCTTAGGGGAGAGATGTAGTCACTGAAGATGAGAAGGACTGTTTTGTTGCTCTGTACGTCACTGTGGTCTGTTGAAATTGAAAACATCTGTGCAAAGGAAATGACCCTCTAATTAGAACAATGTGTACGGCATAGCAACTGAGGTTGGGAGGCTGATTGAATAGCGCTTGAATAAAGCTCTTAGCCTTTCAGGTTAGGTTTTGTGTTTATAGGCTGATGTTGGGTACACATCTGTTTCCACCTCCTGTACATTTCTTGGGTTCAGAACAATTGAGTTTCCACTGCAGACATGCCTCCTGAAAAATACTTTTGGCTTAGTCTGTCATGTTGTTGGTATTTTTTAATGGAAATTTTTTCCTGAGATCATTATAGATTCACCTGCAGTTGTAAGAAATACCTTCTCCATTGTTAACATTTTACAAAATGATGGTGCAATATTACAACTAGGATATCGACATTGATAGACTCTATCCATCTTATTCAGAATATCCAAGCTTAACTTGAACTCATTTGCATGTGTGGGGTGTGTGTTTAGTTCTATATGATCTTATCACATTGTAGATTTTGTCATCCGCCACCACAGTCCAGATGCCGAATGGTTCCATCAACACAACCATCCTCATATTGCCTTTTAGCCACACCCTCCTGTATCTTCCCATGGATTCCAACCCCTTAGCAACCACTAGTCTCTTCTTCATTTCTAAAATTTTGTCATTTCAAAGGTGTTACAATAATATAGGGTGTAACATTTTGGAATTGGCTTTTTCCACTTATTCCGCATAATTCCCCAGAGACATATCCAGGTTGTTGCTTTGCACTGCTCAGCGGTATCCCATAGTGTGTATGTGGGAGTTTATTCATGTCTTCAACTACATCTGAGAGGTTTCCAGTTTATGGCTATTATAAATAAAGTTTCTGGGTACATATGTATGCTGTTTTATCTGTGAAAATAAGTTTTCATTTGTCTGGGGTATCTACCCAAGAGTAAATTTACTGGGTCCTATAGTAATTGCTTGTTAGTTTTATAAAAAAAAATTGCAAAACAATTTCAGAGTGGTTGGGCCACTTCACAGGGCTGACCATAATGCACGAGTGATTCAGTTTCTGCACTTCCTCATCAGCATTTGGTATTGTCATTATTTTTAATTTTAGCTAGTCTAATAGATGTGTAATTGTATCTCATGTGGTCTTAACTGGCATTTTTCTAATGGCTAGTGATGTTGAAAATCTTTCCATGTGTTTATTTGCCATATGTATGTCTTTGTTACTGGAATTTCTCTTCCCGTCTTTGCCCATTTTCAAACTGGATTCTTCATTACTATTGAATTTTGAGAGTTCTTTATATATTCTACTTACTAGCCTTTGCCCTTTGCTAGCTATGTGGTTTGAAAATACTTTCTCTAGGCTGTAGCTTGTCTTCTCATTCTCTTCACATGGACTTTCACAGACAAAAAAAAAGTTTTTAATCGTGTTGAACTCCAAGTTATCAATTTTTTCCTTATGGTTCATGCTTTTGCTTTCAGTTATAATAACTCTTTGCCTAGTTTTTGCTCCTGAAAATTGTCCTCTATCTGTATGTATTTTTCTGAAAGTTTTATGGTTTTATACTAATGTATGCAATACATTTTAAGTTATTTTTTTTAAGATGTGAAGTTCAGGTTGAGGTTCATTACTTTTGGCTTATGGATGTCCAGTTGTTCCAGCATCATCTATTGAAAATGCTATCATTCTACCACTGAATAGCTTTTGCACTTTTTCTAAAAATCATTTGATCACATTCGTGTGGGGATATTTGGGTTCTCTATTCTATTCCTTCCCAACTTATGGGAAGCAAAGACCTATAGGTCTTTGCTTTGCTTTGTCAAAACCACACTGTATGGATTATTGTAGCTTCATAATAAACCTTAATATAAGATAGAGTGATTCTTCTTACATTATTCTTTTTTTTGTAAGGTTGCTTTAGTTATTCCAGGACCTGTGCCTTTCCATACAAATTTTAGAATAAACTTGTTTATGTCTACCAAAAACCCTGGTGAGATTCGGAAGGAATTGCACTGAACCTGTAGATCAATTTAGGAAAAAATGGCATCTTTACTGTTGACTTTTGAAGCCCATGAACATGATATTTCTTCCATTTATTTATGTCTCCTTTTATTTCTTTCATCAGCTTTTGGTAATGTTCAGTCTGTAGAGTCAGTATATGTTTTGTTAAGTATTTTATTTCCTTTGGAGTGATTGTAAATGATACTCTGTTTTTAATTGTTATATTCTCATGTTTACTACTAATATAAAGAAATGTTGCTGATTTACTTGTGTTGACCTTGTATCTTGAAACTTTACCAAACTCAATTAGTCTAGGATTTTTCTTTTGGTAGATACCTTGGGATTTTCCATATAGAAATCATAGCATCTGAAAATTGGAAGTGTTTGATATCTTCCTTTTCAATTTGTTTTTTTTCTTTGTCTTATTTTATTATTTACTTGTTTCAGTGCCATACATCCCCATTACTGTGTCAGGTAAGAGTCATGAGAAGACATTCTTGCTTTGTACCCAGTTCTAGGGGGAAACATTCAGCCTTTCATCATTAGTATAATGTTATCTGTAAACTTTTTGTTGTTGTTTTTTGTTTTGTAAATGTTCATTATCAAGTTGAAGAAATCCCTCTGTATTCCCTAATATGCTGAGAGTTTGATCAAGAAGAGGTGTAGAATTATAGTAATTTTTACTGAATCAATTGATATGATCATCTGATTTTCTTCTTCTTCCTGTTGATATGATAAATTGCATTGTAGAATCTTGAATAAGCCTTGTACACCTGGAATAAATCACATTTGATTATAATATATAATATTTTCTATACACTGTTGGATTTAATTTCTCACTAATTGGTGAACATTTTTGACTCAAAGTTCATAAAAATTGTTGGTCTGTAATTTTATTTTTTTTTACCACATCTTGTTTTGACATAAAAACTTATTAGCTTTATAAAGTAGGTTAGTAATTAATCTCTTTTTAATTTCTCTAGAAAAATATGTACAACTGGTATTAATCACTCTTCAAATATTAGATAGAATGAAAGAATATGTGCTTGGAAATTTCTTTCTTGAGAGCATATACATTTTAAATTCAATTTCCTTGATAGTCCCAGGCCAATTCAGATTGTCTACATCAGTGTGATTGTTTTAGTAGCTTTGGTTTTAAAGAATTGGTACATTTCTTTTAAGCTGCTGAATTTCTGAGCAGAAACTTGCTTGTAGTATTCACTTATTATCCTTTTAATGGCTGTTAGATCTGCCATGATAGCCCATATTGTATTCCTAATATTGGTGATTTGTGCTCTCTTTCTTTTTATTTCTTTAGTGTTTATAAAGGCTTTATTCAGCTCTTTATATTTTTATTTCCTTTGAGACTTCCTCCTTGACCTATGATTATTTATAAATGTGTTTTTAAAATTTTCATGCCTCTAGAGATTTTCCTGTTGTATTCCATTTAATGACTTCTGGTTTCATTCTGTTATGGTCAGAGTATATATTCTGTATGACTTCAATTATTTAAATAGGTGAAGATTTCTGTATGGCCTAGGTTATAGTCTATTTTGGCTAATGCTCCATAAGCCCTTAAAAAAGTGTATATTCTGCTGTTGTTTTTTGGATGTTCAATACACTTCAATTAGACACAGTTGGTTGTTGGTGGTGTAGAGTTTGTCCGTATCAATGCTGATTTCTTCTCTAGAAGTTCTGTCAGTTACTTACATAGAGGTTTTTACATCCCAACTATGATTGTGGAATTGTCTATTTCCTGCTTCAGCTCTATCAGGCTTTGATTCATATATTTTGTGGTTCTACTGTTTGGTGTGCACACATTTGGAATTCCTATGTCTTCACTGTGGACTGATTATTTTATAGTTATGTAACATCTCTCTTTGCATCTAGTGATTTTCCTTGCTTTGAAGTCTATTTTTCACATACTAATATAGTAAATTCTATTCTGTAATGATTAACATTTACATGAGATATCTTCTCCTATTCTTTACTTTCAACCTCCTTATGTCATTAAATTTGAAGTGAGTTTCATATGCACAGAAAAATGACTAGAAGGATTTTAATGTAAAGAGTTGGTCATTCACCTCATAAATGATTGAATTAATAAGAGGACACCAAAGCATTGAAATAAATAGAAAGGAATGAATCCATGATAATAACAATGACTGAGAACTCAGTAGATCTCTGTGGGAGGAGGTTTCTCAGACCTAGTGAGGAAGGCGTGTTTTTTCCCTATCCACTTACTATTAGAAAGGCTCTTAATCAATCCTTTTTGCCTGTTATGCCAGCTCCCCCGCTGTTGCAGGACAAGCTCCCTTTAGATCCTGGCAAGGAATGAGCCCACCTGGGTTACCTTTCATTGCTAGGTTAGGGTCAAAAACATCCAGGCTGGTTCCTCTTGTTCTACTGGGAGGAGGGGAGATGAAATATCTTCCTACCGTATTGGTCCATCAATCCTGGGGTCCTACATCAATTTGCCTCCCTCTTGCCACCTCCCAAATGTCGCCTGTGGTTGCCTGTTGAATAATTTTCAGGAATTATAACTGCACTTAGTTGGGAGGAAAAGGGGATAGAGGAAGACAGGGGAGTCTGTATTATCTGGTCCAGACTGGAATTCCTAGTTGTTTGTTTTTAAATGACAACTGATACTGTTCATAGTTTGACACAAATTAAATATCCGATTGACATAATTTCGTATGATACCAGAAAAATGTCGAAGGATTATGGTCTTAGCACTTAATGTGCATCACAAATGAACAACAATGCTTATTTTCAAAATCCCCAAATCTTGACTTTTAAAGCTTTTTTTCCTATTCTACACAGCAAAACTACACACTTATTTTTTCTCTTATTTGAGTTCTGTGTTTGATAACATGTAACATGCAAAACAGATAGAAATGGGGTTACTTTGCCACAGTGGATCCTTTTCCATGTCCTCCTTCATGTATTACGTACAATACTAGCCCCATGGAAATAATAATCCCCCGCAGCAGTGGTTCCCACAGTTTTCCTCCTGAATCAGCAACGTGAGTATCACCTGAGAATTTGTTAGAAATTCGTATTCTTACGTCCTATTCCAGATTTTCTGAATAAGGAATTCTGAGATGCACGGTCCTGCCATGATGCATGGCCTCTTCCCCCGCCTTTTTTTTTGTTTAGACGGAGTCTCACTCTGTCACCCAGGCTGGAGTGCAGTGGCGCGATCTGGGCTCACTGCAAGCTCCGCCTCCCGGGTCACTCCATTCTCCTGCCTCAGCCTTCCGAGTAGCTGGGACTACAGGCGCCCGCCACCACGCCCGGCTACTTTTTTGTATTTTTAGTAGAGACAGGGTTTCACCGTGTTAGCCAGGATGGTCACCATCTTCTGACCTTGTGATCCGCCCGCCTCGGCCTCCCAAAGTGCTGGGATTACAGGCGTGAGCCACCGCGCCCGGCCCATCCCCCTTTTTTTAAAGACTCAAATGACAGGGGCCAGATTACAGTAGATTCAACTTGACTGGAAAGAGAGGAAATAGAAATAATGAGAATAAACAACTAATAACACTCTTCTTCCTTAGTACCTGATTTGTATTCACACAGAATGACTTTCATTGGTGCATATCAACATACTCATCTATGTGATGAAACTTAAAGTGGTTTTATTTTTTCTACTTATACAGATCTTTACATATTATGAATAAGCATGTACTACATTTCACCAAGGCAAAGAAACAGGAAAAATGCTCTCTTGAGTAATTAGTTTCCAAAAGTTAGATTGACTACATTATCTGTAAAGTAATTGACTGTAATATTCCAGCTATGTATTTTTTACCTTATGGTACTCATTCAACTCTAATTCAGGAGGGTAATGTTCCAACAAGCTGCAACCTCCCCCTTATTATTTACAAGAAACCATAGTTCCTATTTTAGAAAGGCTATTTTTTTCTTTACTGACCCGATATATAATTTAATCAATCAATCAGATCTCCCTTTTATGCCAGCTGCTGTGAAGCATTAAGCAAATTACAGTTGATTGTTGAACAATATAGGTTTAAACTGTACAGGTCACTGAAAGAATTTTCTTCCACCTCTGCCACACCTGAGGCAGCATGACCAACCCCTCCTCTTCCTCCTCCTCCTCAGCCTGCTCAATGAGAGGATGGTGAGGATGAAGCCCTTTGTGATGACCCACTTCCATTTAATGAATTGTAAATATGGTTTTTCCTCCTCATTACTGTCTTAATAACCTTTTTTTCCTCTAGCTTACTTTATTGTAAGAATGTAGTATATATACATAAATATCTGTGAATTGACTATTGATGTTATCAGTAAGGCTTCTGGCCAAGAGCAGGCTACTGTGTTTTTGAGGAATCACAACTTTCACGTGGATTTCTGACTGCGACGTTGCTCAGGGCTCCTGTCCCCACATTGTTCAAGGGTTAGCTGTGATTAATATCTATAATATTATAAAGCACCATGTACCACAGTGGGTCAGAAAACTAATCCTGGGGCATAATTCTTAGGTATTACTCAAGAGAACAATTCTCTGAAGTGTAATGAGTTTGGGAAATTGCAGATTAAATGTAATTGAACGTCAACTTTGGTCTTTCCGTCATTTTATTTTTACTGCTGCGGGAGGTTTCGGCACCTTTAAAGGCTTCTCTAAGCATACAAACTGAAATATTTCCCAGGTTTACCTGTCTCAGAAAGTGCACTCCTGTGTGAGTGTGTTTGGGGTATAGTGTGGTGTGTGTGCATGTATGTGTGTGTGCATAGCGTGTGTACGAGATACTCTTGCAGAAGCAGTACCTCACGGAACATACTCTGCAAACTGAGAAATGCTGCTTGATGGTGCCTTGGTTTATGCCTTTTCCTGAATTTTAAATTCCATGATTTCTTTTTATAAAATTAAAACAAAATTAACATAATAGAGATGGGGACTTACTATGTTGCCCCGTCTGGTCTTGAACTCTTAAGCTCAAGTAATCTTCCTGCCTCAGCCTCCCAAAGTGCTAGGATTACAGGCATGAGCCACCATGCCAGGCTTAAATTCTCTCTCAGATGTTTCAAATGTACATTATTGTCTTTCCTCTGCTGTAAGACAGTATTTTTTTTTTAAATAAAGGAGAGTAAACAAACAACTTATTAAGTCATCATAGGTTAGCACAAATATTTTCTTATTAATTGTAAAGATTGTTGTAAGTATAAGGCTCCCCAGAATGACATTTTGTTTTGGATTATTTTAACCTGCATGCCAAAATTAAATTATAATGTCTTAATTACAAGATGTGTCAAAAAGCAAAATTTTCCAATTAACTAGAAAATACTGGTCACCTGACTTCCCAGAAATGTGCAATTCAAAGATTTCCTGATCATTTTACATTTATGACAACCTTAGTTATTTAAGGAAATAAATTAATAAGCATTAACATATTGTAAGTTTTAGTTCATGTTTTATCCATTTAAATTAAGTCTGTAATATTGGCTAATCAAATGATTGAATTAATAAGAGGACACCAAAGCATTAAAATAAATGGGAAGGAATAGATCCAGGATTGTAACAATGCCTGAATACCAATAACACTATTCTTTCTTAGCCATTTATTTTTTTTAGCCATTTATTTTCTATATATGTATATGTATTATATTATATATATATTCTATATATATACACACACACGCACATACATGCATGCATAATATATAAGTGGAGCTCAACACTCTGTGTCTGAAAAATATTTGAAATACTTTTCAAACACTCTGGATTAGACAAAGAAAATAAGTTCCATCAAATATATTTTCCTTGAATTTTGCACCCCTTGTATTTAGAGGAAAACTTAGTCCATGTGTTTCTGATTATTTAACATTTAACCCATCAAAACATTTGTTTTGAAAATAATACTTATGTCCAAAACTTTCTGAGTCTTTATAATGAGTTCTCCTTTCAAGAATTTGGCATAAATTGAGGAGATTTTAAAAAAGTGGTTTAAGGTATAGTAGTTCTTTCAAACCAATAACTTTTAATAATGAACTATTCTGGATAAATATTTCTCCAATATATATTTGTAATTCTAAATTATAATCTATGTTAAGATAAAATATATATGTATTTTTGTTACCTGAAGATAATCTTTCTATTTATTGTATCTAAGAATATACTTTTAAAAATACTTACAGAACTTAATATCAGATAGAACTATAAGCAAAATTATACTTTAAAGGAAGAAAGAAATGCAGAAGAAAATAGTGGAAGTCATATGTAAAAATATATACAAGATTTTTAGTGCAGAGATATATTATTAATAAATCCAAGATAGTTCTTAACAGAAGTGGTGTTTCTTAATACTTCTTATAATCAGATTGGTTTAACCTTTATTTATAACTAAAATTATAAGATAAAAAATTGATTTTTAAGTGTTTTTAACGTAAAATAACCATACATTAATATTTTATATGCTAGAAGATATAGTTGCTTAATATTATCTAAGCAATGTTGCAGGCAAATGAATTGTACTGGACTTAGGAAATTTAGAGATGTTAATATGAGTGCAAAACCATTTATTACTAGGCACTAATTAATTCAAAGAAAATTAGGATTTGTTAAAATAGAGATCATTAATAGTCTGATATAATATATATTATGTGTTTAATATATAATTAATTATATCTTTAGATGTACTTCTATGTATTTTTAAATTGACCTTTTTCTTTTACCTCATCATTTATCTATGTTTTATGGGAATTATCTCGATCTATGTTGATGTCTATATCCACATCTATCAATCATTTATCAACATTCATATAATCTAGATATATGATCACTTTAAATGGTTTCATAATATTCTATAATGTATGGGTATATCAAAATTGTTTCACTATTTCTTCCTTTAAAAAATATATCATGCTTTAATCCACTACCCTATAAAGAATGTTTAGAACTTTTGCGATGTACAATATGAAAGTTTTTGCAAATTCCATCTCTTTACACTTACAATGGTTCTAGGTGGGAAGACTGCACAAGACTCGCAGGCGATCTTAAATACGTTGTTCTGTATTTTTTTAAAATTGTTGTTGTTGTTGTTGTTCGTTTGTTTTTGAGATGAAGTCTTTCACTCTGTCTCCCAGGCTGGAGTGCAATGGCAAGATCTCAGCTCACTGCAACCTCTACCTTCTGGTTCAAGCTGTTCTCATGTCTCAGCCTCCCGAGTAGCTGAGATTACAGGTGCCACCATGCCCAGCTTTTGTGTGTGTGTGTGTGTGTGTGTGTGTGTGTATTTTTAGTAGAGATGGGGTTTCACCATGTTGGTCAGGCTGGTCTCGAGCTCCTGACCTCGGGCGATCCACCCACTTCAGCCTCTCAAAGGGCTGGGATTACAGGTGTGAGCCACCACGCCCGGCCTATTGATGTCTATTCTAAGTTCAATGGGACACCAATGGAGTCTTTGAAGCAAGCATTCAACATCAGATTTGTGTTGAGAAAAGACTACGATGATTGCAGAGTAGAGAATGGGTTGGAAAACGGTGCTGCTTGCAGAGAGACTCTGGAGAGACTGCTTAGAAAGATTTTTTTTTTAAAGATTTTAGCAAGAAATGTTTGTAGGCTGAATGATAATTTATTGATAGAGAGCAAGAGAAATAAATGCATTGGAGAAAAATTATACAATGAAATCATTGGGACTTGGTTTAGCAGAAGGTAAGTTTGACAAAAGAATGAGATTGAAATACAAGGCTGCAACTAATTATGAAGAAACCTATTACTCTAAGTACTTAAAAGGAGAATTTGAACAGAAATTTCTTTATTAAATCATTATTTTTCTTATTATGAGACTGATGATTAATGAAAATATTTGGTGCTTAAGACAGAGGCACTGGGTTAAGGATGTCTTAGTTTGAGTCGTAGATTCTCCATTTACACACCTTGTGACAAGTGATGTAACCTCTCTAAAAACTTCCAGAATTTTTATTTGTTTTGTTTTTGTTTGTAAAATGGGGCTACCAACCCCATGTGATTGCTGAGAATTAAATAATGAAAAATAGTGCTTAATATGACATGTGACACAAGTCAAAGAACTAAATAAATATTCATTATTACTGATAGGATTTTATCATTATCATTATTAATTGGGGACAATATTCTGACAAGAGTTCATTTTAAAACTACAAATAGAGGCAAGAATCACAGTTTCTATTGATTCAACTGCTATTACTGGGGTGGGGAATTCCCTCTCTTTAAACATGAACTTTCAATGTAAAAGGAGATCAGTGCTAATGTTTGGGAAGATCTGTTTATTTTTGACATTCCCTAGGGAGCTTTAGGAACTCTGGGCATCTCAGCCATGTATTTGTTTACCTTTGGTTTACCCAGGGAACAAAAAATCATGAAGAAATGCTGGACCAATTGTCATGGATTAATCGTTCATTAGTTACATAATTATTAGAGAAATAATCATAACACAGTAGATTTATTTCTAGAATAAATAAAAGAACATGCATTTTATATTAATTGATAGACAATATCATAGATAACACACATTAATATTCACTTCAGGTTTTATCCTGTTATTTCATTAATCTAGAAAACAAACTTTTTTTTGCTGGCTTAAAGTATCAGCTCAGTTTTTCTACTAATTTAAAATTGTACAATATCAGTACACGTATTATAATTGGTTGCCACAGGGTACAGATCACTATTTGTATGTGCAAAGTGGAAACTATAGCAAATACTAAATGCTAATATATGTGCTAAGTCTTAATTCATCATTTTATTTTGGAACAAAGGGAATCAAGGGAAATGTATTTGCCAATAAACTTTAATATATGTCTCCCTGGAGCAATGATTATAAGATTAAATTGCAGAGAAATACAATAGTATGTACACTAAGCGATTCAAAATATGTCATTCCCTACTAATTTGGTCAAAGCCAGGAATTTAGAAAAAGGAAAGATTAGTTTCTGTTGAATTTCATTTTATGCCTTATGTTAGAAATTTGTAAAACTGTCTCTTGCTGGCTCTCAGATTGTGAAATAACAATGAATGCAGCTCCAGGCAAGCTGCCTTTCAGGCAGACCTGTCAGGAGAGAGACAGACAGTTCAGGGTAATTCATTCTTGCCACCGAGTCTCAAGTGACTTGTGAAGGAATCTGGCATTTCTAAAATATAAATAGCATTAACTCACAGCAAGAAAGAGAAAGTGTTCTTCATGCTTACTGAGAGGCAAAAGATCAGCAGTGAGCAACGGAAAGCCATCATGGGGTTTAATGACAGGATTTTTAGAAAAGGGGAATTTCATAGTAACTAACTGTAAAGGACACACCTCACCAAGTCGACGGATTTCCTGAGGGTAATTGATTCCCAGTGTTTTACAAGTCCATGTTCTTCAGGATGATCTTAGTGTGCACAAAAATCATATGCAAATGAATTTTGGATCAAGATACAAAAATAAAATAAACCAGTGAAAATAAAATGAAGGGAACTAGGAAAGCGCAAAACAGACTCAAAGCCTTAATGTTTTTGCTCATTAATTCAGCATGTAACTCACATTCCAATGGAAGCAGAAGAGGTTGAGCCCACAATCAAACTGTCACTGAATTCTAAACCAAAACTGAAGTATGGACTTCTTCTCATTAGGGTCACGTTGCCAGGACTATACAATGAAATGCCTGGCCGTGAGAGTCCAGCAATTTTCTTTGCTCTCAGAGTTCCTGTTTGGAAAAGAAATCTGAGAACTTCATGGTGGTAAGTGTTATTACTTCAAGAATTCACCCCGTGGAATTCATAAATCATTGTATTTCTACTGCTGCTCTATTGAAGGACTAAGGGAAAATATGAGGAAACGTGAGTGAAAGGAGGTGTTAAGGAGGGTTTCCTTCTTTTCTTCTTTCCCTCTTTTTTGCTGCTGTTAATTTACATAGGATCATATGCTAGAACTGTTTCCCATTTGGGTTTTATTTCGCAGAGCCTACTGAGGAAAACATTAAAACATGCTTTAAACAGGTATTTGTCAACAGGAAAGACCAACAAGATAGGAAACGAATGATGTCCACTTAGCACCTATTTGTCACTGTGTCAGGGTAGGAATTGTCTTGGTCTTGTCCCTGGACATCTGTGGGTTGGTCGTTTTATTCAAATCTTTTTCCTACTGATTTCACACTGTTTTTTGGGTGTCATCACATTTTTAATATCAACAGGGTCCATGGCTTGGGATGCTTGACCACCATCAAAAGATCAATATATATGCATGAAGCCAGTCTTGTTAGACTATAGCCTGCCAGGCTATGAGACTCATGATTTCCCATCTCCCAGAGGTTAGAAGCTTTGGTGATCTTAGCATGGGCATAAACCCAGCCACTTACAATCTGTCCCCTGTTCATTTTTTAGGACTTTTATTTATTCTATGATAATATGTTCTGTTAGGCCAATATGCTTTATTATATCTCTTTGATGTCAACACAGCCTATAATCATATAGAGGCAAGGAAACGCCGCTAGATGATGTTCTATTCAGATGTAATGTGGATCAGATGGTGACATTTTATTCTTACTGCATTTGCTACCAACATGACACATGGTAGAAGTACATCCCCCATCTTCCTTGGATCTTATCGCAGGCCTTCCTACCTGACTGTGACTCTCACCTTCCTCACCTGCCTTCCTCTAGAGATGAGTGAGATGGCCAAATGGCCAGCAGCCCTGTTCCCATGGCAACACCTTTCCCAGTGCAAAAGAAGTTTGTGATTTGTGGTTCTCCCTGCTGTTGATGAGGCCTGAAACTGAATGAGATTTCATTTCTTAGACTTGAATAAATTGTATTTGAGGCGTCTTTTCTATCACAGTCAATCTACCTGTTATATTGGTCTCAGTGTCCTCGACTCTGTAAATACCCAGGGTATAGCCCTGGCAGGCGTGATGTGGAAACTCTTGACTGATATTCTTCATTCTTGCTGAAACATGCAAAGGCATGAGCTACAGGCTCAGACGGGAGGTTTACTGCCATGTCCTTTTACAAAGCTCCTTTTCCTCCTCTGTATAAGGGGAGTTGATGTGTGTGTCCTCTCATTTAAGCAGCCGTGCACTGAGCACATGCATCACGCTGCACACTGCTCCAGCTTACAGAGGAAAAAAAGAGAACAAAGCTGCTGTTTATGAAACATACATTCTGGTTGGGGAAGCAATAAACACACAGACAACTATTTGGGGGGATAACAGGAAACACGATCAAGTAAAGTAAAGTGTTAGAGCATGGGGGGTGCACAGCTTTCAACAGAGAAGGTGAAGACAAGAACACCTGCCGCCCACACTGTCAACTAACATGAGAAGTCCCTGCAGAGGTGAAGGGCTGGGAAAAAGGTAACTATTATCATGCTGTTGTGCCCGTTAATGTGGATTTGTGCTCAAAGTAAAAGCAAGCATCACCATCAGATATAGTAACAGAAGTGGTATGAAAACTAAATGATCACATCATGAGTAAAACCCATTCATTCTAATCACTTCTTTAATTTATTGGGCAGCTACCATGTACACCACACTGTAATAGATCATTCATATATAGTATTTTATTTTATGGTATCTACAGTCCTCTTTTACATATTCCCTCCACTTTATGGTTGAGTGGGCTAAGGTAAGAGAAATTAAATGACTTCCCTGGTGGACCGTGGTGTGTGCACTCTGAGATTGGGAATCCACCCAGGCCTCCAATCTCCTAGCTCTGTGCTCCTCCCTTCACATCTTATGACCTCCCTGGAGCTAGTTTCTCCAACTCTAAGAATTCTGCATCAGTGAGTAGGTTATGGATTGGCCATTTCACTTGGTGTTTGGAGAAAACCCTGCCTTGTTACTTATAATGCCCTCTCATATGGTGATGGGTTTGTGAGGTTATGTTGAGAGCTAGGTGTCCCATTGGGTGGGATGGAGTGGGCATCAGGATGAGTCTCTCCGGAGGGGATGGGAATCTCAAATGCCAGCCGCTGAATGATGAGTGGGTGCTCAAACCGGAATCTGGATTTGTGAAGGTGGATCGTAGGCTGGGAAAAAAGGTCATATTTTCTCACTCCAACTCTGATAAGCTGATAGGTTTAGCACAGGGTATGTTTTAACCCTATATTTGAGGTTACATATTTTTCCCCATATTAAGGCTGTGGTATATTTTATATTGTGTATTAGTCCATTTTCACACTGCTATAAAGAACTGCCCAAGACTGGGAAATTTATAAAGAAAAGTAGTTTAATGGACTCATAATTCCACATGGTTGGGGAGGCCTCGGGAAACTTACAATCATGGCAGAGGGTGAAGGAGATGCCAGTACCTTCCTTCACAAGGCCGCAGAAAAAGAGAGCAAACGGGAGATGCCAGACACTTATCAAACAACCAGATCTTGTGAGAGTGCCCTCACTATCATGAGAACAGCATGGGGGAAACCACCCCCACGATCCAATCACCTCTCACCAAGTTCCTCTGTCCACACATGCGGATTACAATTTGAGATGACATTTGGGTGGGGACACAGCCAAACCATATCATATTGAAAAACAAATTATCCAAATTCATAATAATGTATGTCTTCTTTCCATTAGTCTTTAGGAAAATCGTTCTTGACTTAGTTTACTTCTCTATGCTGCCGACAAGATTGATGTTGATGATAATGGTTAGTAAGAGATTATAGACAGCCCAAATTACATGGAAAATCTAATCCAAGCACTGGACCACCACCATGCTGATGAAATGTTTTCTTGGGGATATTCTTAGTGGTATTCCTCAAAATCAAAAGTTAGTTCTAATTGTTCTATTTTAGTAAAATTTACCCCCAAAACAGAGTTTGCTGTCCCCTTGGCTTTTAGAACAGAACGCTGTGATACTTTGGAATTAACTGATTTTTAAAAATGTTCTTTTTCTTACTAAAAAAAATACCCATTAGTATCTCTCCTAACTATTTTCATAGAGTTCAAGTACTGCAGTAAGAGCTCCATTAGGATTTTATTTTAAGCAAATTATTTTTATTCTTTTGACTTTTAAAAAATTTTTAACATTTATTTTAGGTTCGGGGGTACAAGTACAGGTTTCTTATGTAGGTAAATTTTGTGTCATGGGGGTTTGGTGTAAAGAATATTTCATCATTATTTTTTGTCTCAAAAAATATAAAAAAGTATGTATCTTCTTATTACAGAAATAACTTTTAAAAATCATCCTGAGTAGTAAATTATCAGCACTAAAGCATATAGAAATTGGCTTCATAAAATGAGAAAGTGTCTCTGCTACTTTCTGGAAGAGGTCAAAGGGAACTGGTATTTCTTCTTCATTAAATATTTCATGGAATTCACCAGTGAAACCTTTTGGGACTGATTTTTTTAATGTCATTAATTATTAATTCCACCTCTTTAACAGATATAGCACTACTCAAGTTATATAGGTTTCCTTTTATGGGTTTTGGTAGTTTGTGCCTTTTAAGGAATAGATCCATTTCATCTAAATTATCAAATGTATGACATAGAGTTGTACATAGTATTCCTTTAATATCATTTTAATCTCCATAGAATCAGTAGTAAATCTTACTTGATTTCTGGTATTTTTAAATTTTGCCTTCTCACTCTCTCTCTTTTTAAAAAAACTTTTTCTCATTTAACCTGGCTTGAGGTGTTGCAATTTTACTGATCTTTTCAGAGAACCAGGCAGCTTTTTGTGTTGCCGATTTTTTTCCATCGTTTCCTTGTTTTCAGCTTCATTGACTTGTGCTCTAGTGTGTGTTATGTCTTTTCTATGGCTGGCTATAGGCTTACATTGTTCTTTCTTCATTTCTTAGGTGGAAGCTTATGTTATTGATTGTAGATTTTTTTCTAAGTATGCATCCAATCCTATAAAATCCCTTTAAGAACCACTTCTACCACACTCGGCCCATTATATAAGATGCATTTTCCTTTAGTTAAAAATAGTTTTTAACTTTTCTTGAGACTTCTTCTTCGACTTGTAAATTATTTAAAAATATATTGTTTAATTGTCATATATTTGGAGGGTTTTCCAGCTATATTTTGGCTATTGATTTCTAGTTTAATTCCACTGTGTTGTAAACACATACTTTGTTTGATGTCTATTGTTTTAAATTTGTTAAGGAGTGCGTTTTAGACCACAAGATGGTCTATATTGGTGAATATTTCCTGTGAACTTGAAAAGAATGTGTATTCCACTGTTACTAATGTATTCTATATATGTCAATTTGTATGTGTTGATTGATAGTGCTCTTCAGTTCAACCATATCTTTACTGATTTTCTGTCTGCTTAATCTATCAGTTAAAAAAGGTGGGGTGTTGAAGTCTCCAACTGTAGCAGTAGATTTGTGTATTTCTTTCTTCAGTTCCATCAGGTTTTGTCACATGTATTTTTACCCTCAATGGACGCACCTTGAGGATTGTTATGCCACGTGGAAAATTCAACTCTTCATCTCTCAGATAGAGCCTGTGCCTTGCAGTGCATCTGTCTGTAATTCACTGTTATTATATTACGGGCGTGGTGGGGAGGTGGGGAGGAGGGGAGTGTATACCATCTTCCCTTTACATATCAATGTTTCAGGAGACAGTGTCTTGGAGATGTAGCTTTCACAAGTGTCTCTCCAGTGGTATAGCTTTTTTCTCTCCACTATCCTTTCTTCCTTCTATGGCCTTGATATTCTCCATCTATTTCCTTGAAGTCCTGACTGTTATTGCTTGTGGGTTTTGGAGGAATACCCTTCCCCCACGGGGATATGGCTTTGACAGCATCTTTTTCCCTAGTGTGTAGGTCTTTTTTATGGAAAAAGTTATGTGTTTTACAACGATTACTTTTATCTCCCCCCTGAAATGACCAAGAGGCGATGTTTCTCTGATTTTCACTGTAAGAAGTGTGGGTTCCTGGAGGTAAAGTCCAGGAAAGTGCGAGCTCCCCTAAGACTGCAGCGCCACGCTGGACACTAAGCCTCCCGCAGGTCCTCCAGTGACCATGCCAGTGTTCCTAGCCCTCAGGGATCCAGCAGCTTCTGTTCCAGGTGAACACCTCTGGGCTGTGTCTCTCCAGATGAACCTGTCTCTCCAGATGTTGGTGCTGTAGTTTGCTTTGCAACCTCAGTTCTCTGATGGCTCTTATAAAGTTGTTTTCAGTTTTTCCAGATTTTTTCTATTGTAAGGACAGAGTGACAGCTCCAAGTTCTTTCATGTTAAAACTGAAAACCTAAGCCCATACATATTGTATTTTAACAACTGTAGACATATGATTAAACTTGGACATTTTTAGATTAAATATCTTCCCTTAACTAGAGAGCTTACTTGCCAAGATGATGCAGTTATTAAGTGGTATAGAAAATACCTTTAAAATTACACCCAAGCTCATACCTGTAGCTGATAGTGAGTCAAAACTCCACAGATTTTCCAAGTCAAGTCAGTAGGCTTGCTAGAGGCTGGGAAGACAAGAACACAACATCTAATCTTGTCATCAAATTAAAAAGAACATGACGTAAGTATTGAAGAGCCGGGGCAGGCATCTGAAGAATATTAAAATACCCTTGTGTTAATATGAGTAGGATATAGTGAAAAAGTTAAATAGACAGAAGATGAGTCCAGGAAATCACAAGATACCAGGGATCCTGTCTTCATCCAGAGTTTATGAGTTCCTCCTTTTATGACATGCAGGACAAGTGAGCCTGTGGGGGCAGAGCTGATGCACATGTTCAGTAGGGGAAGAACTCACCTCATTTAAGGACACAGCTCTCAACTAATGATGCCATCAGTATGTTGAGTAATGCATCAAACATTATTAACTATTCCAATTAGATAAATTTTAGCCAAGAGGATTTAAACACATGTGGAAATGCTTGCGTAGACAAGCATTCTCATAGATAAAAATTCTACAATTTACTAAAAAGGGGAACTTTTTGAAGCCAACTTTTAGGCACGCAATGGTGAAAACAAACCAAGAAATTAAAAACTCAGAATGGTTTACTCGTGTAGTGGGGGAAGTTGTATTTCTAATCAAACTCACTTGGATTCAAATCCACTTTTGATTTTTACTCATCATACTCCTTAATTTGCTTAATCAATCTGCTTTCTACCTTCAGCTATGAAATACGCCTCCTGTGTATACAGCATAAGAGTGCTATGAATTATCCTACATCCGTTGAAAATTATTAAAAAGTTACTGTGATTCCCCCCATGATCTGTAGTATATTTGATGTCTGGAGTCATACTTTAACCACCTCTGCATCGCCAATGCACAGCCTAGTCTATGGCCCTGGACAGCGTCCAGTGAAAATTTGATGAACTAAATGTCCTCCCTCCTCTGACCATTTTAAACATTGCAAATTAATGTTCTTAAACTCATTCTTCTTTATTCACTATAAAATAACATGTTCACTACTCTGTACTCTACAAGGCATCATAGCAGTCACCAACAATAAATAAATAAATAAAAAGGTAGAAGGTAGTATCATCCTCTCAAGGAACTTACACTCTATCTGCAGAGATAAAAACACCTACACAGGTGTTTATTAACAACCCTGGGTGAGAGCTAATAAAGTACCCAATGAGTAGAGCAGATGTTGTACTGGTATCTATGTCTTACTGCATATGTGACCCAGAAACAAAAACAGGACTCAACCTGCATTCAGTAAAAAGGAGATTGATTGACTCACAAAACTAAAAGGTTAAAAGAAAACCTGGCACCAGACAAAGATGCTGCAGGGCCTGTCTTTGTCTGGGGCTCCATATCACCTGACTGGCTCCATACCCTGCTCTATATGGTGGAGTCTGGCGTCTTTAGTCTCACGTCACAATGGCATCCAGTCTAGAGTAACAGGGAAACTCTCTCCTCCAAAAACACACACAAGAAGTCATGCCCCTCAAGTTTCACTCACCTTATTGCCTTGCTTTGCATTATGTTATTATCAGGCACCAGTTCCTGTGGCTAGAGGGATTGATTATTGCTGATCAAATTCCCCCAGATCAATGCTCATTTCTGCATCTTGCAGATGGACTTGTCCCTGGAAGAATGTTATGAAGACTGTGGTAGGACAGTGCATTTGCTTCTCCTGAGGATCTTGTTAAATGAGATTCAGATTCAGCAGCTCCAAGGTAGAGCCTGAAGTTCTGCCTTTCTAACACCTCCGGGGGGCACTGCCGCTGCTGGGCTGATGCCACACTTCATTTTAGTTAGCAAGGGATTAGAGGAAGTGTTCCCCAGGGACTGCTGGAAAGTTCTTGCTGCAAGAATGAAGGTGGACAATGAGTGGTAGAAATAACAAATGCATATTCAAAGTGAGGGTTGAGAAGGGTAGCCCAGAGTGAGCTGAGGGCTGGTCACGAGTGGTCTTATTAGGATCCTGTGTGAGAGGGTGGCTTGGGAGCCAGGCTTCCCAGCACGGGACTCACATCTTCCACCAGCTACTCTGTGCCTGTTTCCTCCACTGTAAGATTGAAATGATAGAGCTATTATGTCATAGGGCTGTTAGAGGATTAAATTAGTTACTATTTCTAAAATACTTAGAATAATACTGTACATATACAATGTACTCTAAGTTTGCTCAGATGAAAATAACTAAAATCAGCTACATATAAAATAAGTATTTATTGGGGGTAGTGTTTATTTTTTAATTTCTTTTTTGTGAGATGGTCTTGCTCTGTTGCCCAGGCTGTAATGCAATGGCTCAAACACTGTTCATTGCAGGCCCGACCTCCCAGGCTCAAGCAATCCTCCTACCTCAGTCTCCTGAGGAGCTGGTACCCACCCACCATGCCTGGCTATTTCTCTGTTTTTTTTGTATTTTGTTAGTAGAAACAGGGTTTCACCCATTGCCCAGGTTGATCTCAAACTCCTGGGCTCAAGTGATTCGCCCACCCTGGCTCCCAAAGTGCTGGGATTACAGGCATAAGCCACCGCACCTGGCTGGGGATAGTGTTTAAAAAGGCAATATCAATAGGCTAGAGTTAGTGGTTCTCACACTTTAGCATGTATCAAAATTACCTGGAAGGCTTGTTAAAAGAAAGACTGTTGGGCCTCATTCCCGGTGTTTCTGATTCCACAGTTCTCAGGAAGTACCTTAAGCATGTCACTTCTAACAAGTTTTGCATTGATGTTGATGCGGCCGGCGTGGGGACCTAAGTTTGTGAGCCATCAGGCTGGACTGCGTGTCTCAAACAGGAGGGCACATTGAATGGGGACGAGGAACCCAATCCGACACAGAGTGAAAAGGATCTTAAACGCTGCATGTTGAGATAAAGTCTGCAGCTGAGAAAATGATGCTACATGATCATTTATATTCTCCTAACAATTTTTATTCCTACGGCTTGCCGCTGCATAGCAGTGACATAGGGAAATGCAACGAACCAGCAGAAGTGCCTCATTGGTGTTCTCCATGCTTGAATTACCTTCTCAGATTATAAGTTCAAGACATAGAATTCTCCCCTGTTTCCTTGAAGACCTGGTGATTTAATATCCATTCAATCTTCCAGTCTTTGTAATCTAACTTCCATCATGCATCTCCAGGTCAATTAAACACAGTAAAGAAGTGGGAATTAGGAGTCCTCTCTTCTAGCTAAAGCGAAGCCTCCAGCAAAGTCTTGGGCACAGCCCTCAACTCTCCACAGACTCAGGATCCTTGTCAGGTGAAGACGAAAATAAACCACCTCTACGTTCTCTTTCTCCACGCAAAGCTCCAGATTCAGCACTGTGGGATTTGAGTAGCCCATTCTGTTCTCCTGCCTACCTGCCTGCCTGCCTGCCTGGTTATAAAACAAGAAAGACGTTTCTAGTTATAGAACCTTTATTCCAATGTGAGCCATTCATGTTCCATCGAGAAATGTGGAATTTGACATTGAAAATTAACAAGTATAGGTTCCTTTGGCAGCAGAACCTGGTCAATGGTGACGCTCTGAAGTGTGGATTTATGAGGTGGTCCAGCGCCCCTATGTCTTAGGGACTGGCCTTTTAAATTTCACAAATCCTATCAGAAACACTTCCCACACTCTTCATATTTTTTGGTTTATGTTAATTGTGTTTAGGGTCTATTAAATGCAATGACAAAAGCAGCAAATTGTATTTCTACAACTTCATTTTTCCCTGATATATTTTTGTATCCTTAAATACAAATGATTCGCTGAACCTGACATCTGTAAATACACTGAATAAAGGGAGATATAAGTATACAGGACAAGTACCATAGCCTTCACTACAGCAATCTCATTAGACTCCACCCCAATTTTCCAGAGAATTCTTGTAAATGTGGGAGAGTGTTTTATTTTCCACTAAATGTGGGATTAAGATTTAAGCAATTTTATAAAAACCTTCAAGGACAGACTGTCTTGTCATATAAAGGATTTGAGGGCGATCTAGTGAAGGGATATCTTGATAACGTAATAAACTAGACAATCTCCTGAATACACCTGAATTTTAAAAATACGCTCCCTTGAGTGATAGTGCTTCTAACCCCAGTAACTTGTGGTAATCATTTTCTTCCACTCCTCATGACTTTGGCTATATTTTTTTTCCTAGGAGAGATCGGCCTAGTCATCCTTGTTGCCTTTGTTTATTTTTAAGTATAAATGTCCCTCTAGAAATGAAAATACATCCTTCAGATATATTGTTTAAAAAGGACTGTTCAGGGACAGGTGTGGTGTCTCATGCCTGTAATCCTAGCACTTTGGGAGGCCGAGGCGGGCGGATCACTTGAGGCCAGGAGTTCTAGGCCAGCCTGGCCAACATGGTGAAACCCTGTCTCTACTAAAAATACAAAAATTAGTCAAGCATGGTGGTGCATGCCTGTGATCCCAGCTACTTGGGAGGCTGAGGCAAGAGAATCGCTTGAACCTGGGAAGTGAAGGTTACTGTGAGCCAAGATCAAGCCACTGCACTACAGCCTGGGCGACAGAGCAAGACTCCGTCTCAGTAAATAAATAAATAAATAAATAAATAAATAAATAAGATGGACTGTTCAGGAAAATATCTGGTATTATTGGTATGTTGGTTTAATTTTAAATAGTCAGCAAGAGAACATATGTTTATCTAAAAACCTAGATAAACATCATCTGATGTGTTAGAAACTTCTTTAGAAAATTTAAAATTCTAATCTCCATACAATGGAGGGAAGCCCAGGAAAAACACAGAACACATAAACAATGATAGCTGAATCCAAACTAAGATTATCCTTAATCCAAAATGACTAGTGCAATGGAATATATGCTATTACCCCTTTGGGTCCTATGGAGAATGTACATCCCTTTCCAAATCTAAATGTAGCTCTTTCATGTGAGAAAAAGTTAGTTTGAAACAGTTTCATCAAACAATGGTTGAATATGAGAAGTAAGCACTTACTACATATGAAACACATGACTAGTCCTTACAGATAATTTAAAAAAGACTGAACATGACAGTTTTTTTGCTCCTAGGGTACACAAGCCATTGGTAAATAGTATGGGAGGCATGAGAGGAACTCGGTGATCCCACAAAGGTAATTTGGGAATTCAAGAGAAATTGTAGCATTTTAAGTCTGGTATTTTAAAGACGAAAAGGGAATTTAAAATGTAAAATTAACATGAAGATAAAGTTATTCCAAGTGAAGATAAAGTTATTCCAAGTGAATGGGATAAGCATCATGGAATGTATAAAGACAGTTTCAGGGTGTAATAGACTCCGGAGCAGGGTGATTTGTGTGTACTTTAGAATATGTTCATGTGTGGCAGAAGCATACCTCAGGAGATAGTTTGGGAAGGAATCATTGAGGGCCTTGCAGGTCAGACTAAGGAAGCTGCCTTTTATTTTGTATATATAGCGATACTTTGAAACACATTTTCTTGTGTGGGACATTCAGGGGCCCTTGAGCAATTCAGACTTACTATGCTAAAGTATCTCCAATGATTAAGGAACAGAAATAAACTCACGATGATATGCTATGAATATTGCAAAACATTTCTATATACTTTATAGATCAGTAGTGAAGTTTATTCCAAACAGATCCTCCTCGTCATTCTCTTACTTTAGAGTAAGTGCTTTTGGGAAACATTCCCAGGCAACAAACAAAGAAAATGTCATTATTTTAAATATTTTGAATCTAATTCAGTGACTAAGGCCATTAATAATTTTTTTTTTATCTTGGGGAAAATTTTTTCTAAAACAGGAATTTTGTCCACAAACCCAGAAGAATCGCTGAGTGAGAGTCTTTGCCTAAGGGCACAACAGTGGAAATCCTTTGAGTAGTAAATGTGACTGTGTTTTCGATGGACTGCGTTACACTGGCAAATGGCTTCGCACTTCTCTCTCTAGCCACTTAATCACCAGAATAGTGCTGATAAAAGTCATCGCCCATCTTCCCTCCAGGATATTGTGGAGATAAACTCATATCCATAAGAAGTATGCAGCTAATAGAATTCGCCTATGCTAATAACCATAACAGCAGCAAGACAGCATTCTCTTGCTGTGGATTAACATCCGCATATATTGGCATGGATTAACATCCAGATATATTGGCATGGAACTCAACTTGAGGCCCGAGATTGCAGAAATCTATGAGGAGGTGAAGCCCTCGGTAGAACACTCTTGGAGAGGTCCCTTTCTTTAGCTTTGCCATTGAGATGAGAAACATATGTCTATATTGGGAATGGTGAAGAGAGAGTTTATTTTCTCTTTACAGCTTTAAATTTAATAATACATGATGGTGACATTCTACTTTCATCCACATAGAACGGTTTTAAGAATCTAATACACTTGTCACTTTCTCTGTTTTTCTAATTATTTCTTTTTACCTGTTGACAGAAAATTGAACGGAGCGCAAATAGGACTTACCCCTCCAGTACGTAAATAGGCAACTACCCACATAACATGGTTTGCAGAGGGCTCAGAATTTCCCTCATGCTGTTCCTCTGGGTAGGAAATATTTAGGATTCAGCCCTTAGAGATGGAGGCATTGGTATCTGTGAGAGGCTAAGACACTGGTAGGACATATTTTATCTGATTAAACTTTACGGTCAAGTAGGACAAATACGGCTGGAGGAGGTTGAGGTGTGCCACACTGCTCTGTGTACTGCCATGTACCATGTAACAACGTCCTGTTCAATGACTGAATGTATATATAATGGTGGTCCTATAAGATTGGAATACCATATTTTCACCATACCCTTTTCTGTGTTTAGACACAAATGTGTACTGTTATGTTATAATTGCCTATGGTATTTGGTCACATGCTGTACAAAATGCCACCTAGGTGTGTAGTAGGCTGTACTGTCTACGTTTGTGTAAGTTCACTCTCTGATGTTTGCACAAGAGGGAAATTGCCTAATGACACATTTCTCAGAATGTTTTCCCATCATTAAGTGATGCCTGACTGTCCTTGTGTTTGTATTAGCCGGGAACATCTACCTACTATGGCAAATGACCCCCAAAGCACAGAAGCTTCACCCAATAGAAGCTCACATCCTGCTCACATAGCACTTCAAGCACCTGCTCCCAGAAAGCCTTCTGCATAATGTTTCAGGGACCCAGGACCCTTCTACTATGTAGCTTTATTTTCCTTTTTGACCTCTTCTGTGGGCTCTGAGGTCATCCTTCAGCTTCCCAATAGGGAAAGAGAGATAACGTGGTGAAAAGGCTTTAGTGGCCAGACCATGAAGGGATGGCATATTCCACTGGCAAGAGCTTGCCTACATGAGCACCTCTAACTGTAAGGGAGACTGGAAAATGTATCTTGCTGTGTGTCCAAAAAAAAAAAAAAGGAGATCACATCAGTATCTGCCACAGGGCCCTGAGTATGCAGCGAGTGTTTTCAAGGCATAGGTTTTAGCATCAAACGAGCCACATATTTATTCTGGCAACGCTCCTAGCCATGTGACCCTAGGTGAGTTGTTTAATTAGTTAAATGTGCACTTGCAGGCTCTTGAGCAAGTTTTCCTCTCTTCTCCTCTCCTCTTCTTTGTCCCATCTCTCTTTCTCTCCCCAGTCCCACTGTCCCATTTGTTTCCTACTTTCATTAAAATAAATATGTCTAAGCCTTTTTTTCTTCTTGGGACTTACCTTGCACAGTAGCAGTGAGAAAATTAACATGTAAAGCACAAAAAGTTACCTCTGTACCTGGGACCAAGTGTGAGCTCAAAGATTTATTAGTTTCCATCATTTTAATATACCCTGAAAAGAGTTAGGGCAGTGGTGCCTGAAGTGGATTTCAGACACGTGAGTTTCCTTCTTCGTCATTTGGCCAGCATGAATTAAAACATTATTCAGTCTTTGAACCATTAAATAACAAGGGTATTTCCTATCTCCCCTGACCCTATACTTAACGTTCCTGGAGACAAAATATGAAGAAAATTTGGGGCTATGAAATTCAACTGTAGTTACAGCATACCTCAGAGATGTAGTTTCCTTCCCATATGATTTGAAGAAAATGTATCAGTACAAAGAAACAAGATATTTTTTAAAAATAATACATTGCATAAGATCTTAGTGTCTTTGGGAGTTGAGCCCTTGGTACTCTTCAGCCTGCCTATCCTGACTAAGTGAGTCTGCTTAATTGAGCTACAAATCTATGAGGATGAGTTCTTAAGGGGTTTTGCAAGCCTCCTGCTTATAGATCAATCAAAATGATTACAAAATAGTTCCTCTCGGTGTGCTTGGCTTCAGATTTCTATGCAATGAGAAATAAAAGGAGGGAAAATGTGCGCTTTCTAAAATACGAAGAAGAGTTCGTTGAGCCTCAGTATTAGTTCAGCCAGGTGTTGCTGTTGGCTCCTGTTTAAAGAAAGTGTTCTCACTTCAAATCTGAACGATGAACATCCCCTGGAAATGGGCCTTCGATTGAGATATTTTTCTGCAAATTGCGCTACTTGCTCTACTGCTATAATGTTCAAAGTGATATGGACAAACAGTAATTAATGAAGCAGTTCTTTCTGAAAAGCAGGTAAATCGTAGGACCCTGAAGTTAATGTAATTTTTCAGAACACTTGTATCAGTATTCTGGGATCTACCCCAGTTAAAATTCATGGAACGAAGCTTTATGCAATTCAAAATGCTTAATAAAAAAAAGAAAGAGAAAAAGAGAGAAAGAAAAAAAGAAAGGAAGAAAAAGAAAGAAAAAGAAAGAAAGAAAGAAAGAAAAAAGAAAGAAAGAAAGAAAGAAAAGAGAGAGAAAGAAAAGAGAGAGAAAGAAGGAAAATGATGTGGTTAAAAAACAGGTATTTGAAGCCAGCTGAGACTGAAGCTTAGCTGTTGTTTGGCATTTTAAACAATAAGAATAATGCAAATTCTGCTTTCTGGAAATACTTCACGGAAAAGAATTGGTGGTTTAATAAAATATTTTCCAGCTGCAACCTTTTTCACTTCTGGCCATTATTTACAGATACCAGAAATGGAAGTCATGTATTTAAAATGATAATTTGTGAAGCTAAAACATAAAATGAATACAATTGATCACATGGTTAGGTTAATTTATACACCTAAACAAATGACTTTTTAAAATTCTCTCCAGCTTTAATATTCTGAGTTTTAGACTTTCTTATATTTTACCTTGCAACATAAAGGTAAAAGAGATTGGATGCGTTTTGTAAAATATCACCGTTGGTATATTTGAATATTTTATTTCTCAGTGTTAGAATATTTGATTTGAGAATTAAACTTCAGTATCAAAATAGGCAACATTAAGTAATGGGGCTATGAAAATGGGATCTGCTCTCTTCCCAAACACGTGTTACCAATGAGAAAATCAAAAGATTTTTTAAAGCAGCTTACCAGATAATGATTGTTTTGCAGCTTATTTTTTAAATTGTATTTTAAGCCAGGTTTGGAAACCGATGCCTAGCTCAAAGGTAATACCCATGAGACCTAATATGCTCCATTGAAAAAAAAGCTTATGGCATGATCAAATTGAATTTCATGAAGTTCATCTACTAGCTTGTTGGCCTTTACTTCCAAATCTGTTTTATCATATGCACTATAAATTGAAAAGCAACAGGAAAAGTTATGCTGAACAGCTGTCCTGCTATTACAAAAAAATTCTGGGAATGAAGTTAACTATGCCGTGTGATTCCATTTCTGTGCTGCTGAGAAAGGAGCTACATGACAAGGCAATTTCCTTTTACAGTATTTATGAGGACAGATACACTTATGGTGTGAATCACGTCCTCTACACGTGTGTGCAGACAGTAGGGCAATAGAGTCTAAACACCAACTTAGAGGGGTTACCAAAAGACCAGTGCTCTAAAAAACAAACATTTAAAAAAACCTCTTTTTTCACCAATATACATAATTCCTTCCAGCGCCCCTATCATTTATGCTTTTGGCTTGCATCATTTTAGGCCCTAAAAGATCTTCAGTTGGAAAAACATAATAGCTTGTCTTTGTGGGGTAAATTGCATATGGAGGAGCTGTTTCACACATATTATCTCACATGATCCCCACACTGTGGTTTTATAAAAGAAAAAAAGTGAATTTCTTGGAGATGACAAGACTGTCAAAAGCACAGGACTCATGAATTGAATCATGGGGCCAAAGTTTTCCCGTGCTGTTCTCCTGATAGTGAATAAGTCTCACGAGATTTGATGGTTTTATAAAGGGCAGTTCCCCTGTACACACTCTCTTGCCTGCAACCATGTAAGACATGCGTTTGTTCCTTCTTCCCCTTCCACCATGATTGTGAGGCCTCCCCAGCCATTTGGAACTGGAGTCCATTAAACCTTTTTCTTTATAAATTACCCAGTCTTGTGTATGTCTTTATCAGCAGTGTGAGAACAGACTAGTACACTTATTTATGTATTTTATTCGTTTTGGAATTAGAGTAAGGAAAATTGTCGTATAATTTAGTTCTCCTTTTCACCCAGGTGTTAAAAATAGCACCAAATAAACATTGACTTCTTTGTTTTGCCAGATATATAAGAAATTTCCCCTTCCATCTCATGCCCCTCTGTACCTCATGAGTTCCTATCTGTGCTAAATTAATCAGTGTTCTCTAGAAGCAGGTCCAGGAATTGACTCACATTATTTTGGAGGCTGGGGAGTCCCAAGAGCTGCAGTCAGTAAGTTGGAGGCCTAGGGGAGCTGATGGTGTCAGCTCCAGTCCAAGTCCAAAGGCCTGAGAACATGGAAAACTGATGATGGAGTTCCCCACCCAAAGCCCAACAAGCTCAAGACCCAGGAAGAGCCAGTGTTTCCATTTGAGCTTGAAGGAAGGAAAAATACCAATGTCCCAGCTCAAAGACAGACAGAAGTAATTCTCCTTACTCACAAGAGAGCCAGCCATTTTGTTCTATTCAGGCCTTCAATGAATAGGATGAGGCCCACTCATTTTAGGGAGAACAATCCACTATACTGAAAGTTCACTAATTTAAATGTTAATCTTATCCCAAAACACACTCACAGAAATACTGTTTGAACAAGTATCTGGACACCTCATGGTCCAGTCAAATTGACATACAAAATTAAACATAATGGCATACTTTTTCTTAACTAAATTGGGAAGAAAAGTACAAATACAAGGGAAAAAAGGAAAATGTATATGAGGTTCAATGCAAAATAGGTTTTCAGCAAATGACAACTTATTTATTTATTTATTTATTTATTTATTTATTTATTTATTTATTTATTTGAGATGGAGTCTCGCTCTGTGGCCCAGGGTAGAGTGCAGTGACACGATGTTGGCTCACTGCAACCTCTGCCTCCCAGGTTCAAGCGATTCTCCTGCTTCAGCCTCCTGAGTAGCTGGGATTACAGGCATGCACAACCACGCCCAGCTAATTTTTGTAGTTTTAGCAGAGACTGGGTGTCGTCATATTGGTCAGGCTGGTCTCAAACTCCTGACCTCATGATCTGCCCACCTCAGCCTACCAAAGTGCTGGGATTACAGGAGTGAGCCACCACGCCTGGCCACATTATTTAACCATAATTGATTGGTTTTACTTTTCCATCCCACTTGCAATGCTGTTCTGTCATCAGTGACAATGTGCATGTATCAACAAATTTTAAATATGAAAATTGGTGAAATATTGCTTTGAATTGAATTTTTTAAATATAAGATTATTAATGTAATATTCAGTAGATAGAATGGACACAAATAAACTATCCATTTAATGCTATCAAAATACCATCTGTGTTTGGGGGCCAGGCTATATCACCTTTGTTATACTGTCAATCTATGAGACTCTTTCTTCTAACAGGGCAATTAACATCATTAATCACATTTGGAAAAGCACTGCAGTTAGGGGATAGAGGGATGAGTAACACAGGAAGTGTAAAATTAAACACAGGTGATTTAAGAGTCTGCCTTGCAGGTACATAGTGAATATTATAAAAAATTACTTTACAAGGCTAAGCTTTTTCTCGAAATATAATACATACTTAGTTTACATTTTACTTGAGAAATCAAGTGTTTTTTGTTTACTCTTTGTATCACATCTACCATTATTTTATTTTTTAATTTTTTATAATTAATTCTTTTTCTCAATTGTTAATTTTTACCCTTTTCTTTTTATCTCTTGTTTTCTATACAGAAAATGCCTAAAATGGTAATGAAAGAGACGTGAAAGACTATAGATTATTTTTATGATTCTATATAATTTTATTTCTTTCATGAAACAGAGAAAGAACATGTATAGATTGCTTGCTAAATTTGTAAATGGTCAGAACTTCATTCATAAAGGGAGAAAAGTAAAGATCATTCTATTTTAATTCATAAAACAGAAACTACTTCAAGCATACTTAACGTGTAAAGTCTAAATGGCAAAGAGGAGAGGATTCTAATTACATGCTTGCCTTCAGACACTTAATTGAGTTGCCTGAGATTAGTTAATTTGCTCAAAACATTTTTGTTGATGTCATTTTAACTGTCCAACATAGTTCAGAACTTTAAAGATTGATTAATTGGTAACAACTTATTTTTTGGGTCTTGTATCTACTGTGAAGACATCTAAATTAATTCTAAGCATAAATAAAATTTAGAAATTGATTTTGTATCTGGCATTATTTAAGATTTTGTTCTATGTTGTTAACTATGCTGAGCTATAATTACATAACCATATTGAAATTCAAAAGTCAAAATGGATCTCATAGTGTTTTCACTGGCAAGAAGTTCTGATCAATAACTCATACCACATGCAAAAATCAATTCTGTTTAATTGTGTTTCTAAATGAGAAAGTTAAAACATTGACACTTCTAGAAGAAAATGCAGAAGGAAATCTTGATAATATACATTAGGTAAATACAGCATAATAAGTACTAATCAGAAAGTAAGAAATTGGTACCTTATATTCAAACTAATAAATTCCGTTCCTCAAATGATGCCCTACGAGTGAAAACATGAGCTACCACATGGATAAATGTTTGCTTCTATGTATGACAAATTAAGTCCCTACCGGACCTTCCTGCAGAAAGGAATGGCAAACCTTGGACACAGCACAAAAAGCGAGTGCCTGCAGGCACCAGAGTAGGCTGGCCAAGAGCAGACAGACTGGATGGAGGGTGTGCACATTTTCCAAGACCATTGAAGACCAGGAGGTATAAAAATTTGTTGCTTGTGGCCCGGGGCGAAGTAGTCCGTGTAGCATGACCAGTGCCGGGGGGACAGAGATGGAAGATCCCTCCAGTATTCTGACCAGGGGCACAGGAAAGCGAGGTTGGGAGAACGATGACAAGGAGATTACGATATCCCATAAAAAAAGGAGCAGAAAGAGGGATCACCTAAATCTCTCTACCCACATCTCCTGCTGATTCCTAAATCATGGACGTGTAGGATAGTTCAAAAATATCTCAGCTTAAATGAAGTGATCTGGACGAAGACCAGAGCTGCCTCCCAAGGAGTAGAGTTTGCAGATCAAACTAGCCAAGAAAAAGGCCTGCTGAGACATAGGAAACATGCCCATCGGAGAAACCTAAGGAAGCCTGAATCTCCTCACATTCATATTTACAACACCGCAGATATAACCCGAGATTACTCGGAAATGATCTGCTGAGACATAGGAAACCATGCCCATCAGAGAAACCTGAGGAGGCCAGAGTCTCCTCACATTCATATTCACAACACTGCGGATATAATCCGAGATTACCCGGAAATGATCTGCTGAGACAAAAGAAACCATGCCCATCGGAGAAACCTAAGGAGGCCAGAGTATCCTCACATTCTTATTCACGACACCAGAGACATAATCTGAGATTACCCGGAAATGATCTGCTGAGACATAGGAAGCTATGCCCATCAGAGAAAACTAACAGAAGCCGGAA